>NW_003571054.1:800652-987716 GCF_000001405.40 Homo sapiens
AAGCTTTGCGGCAGTACAGCCCAGGTAATTTGCTGAGCTTGATCGGTGTCAGGGTCAGTCCAAGTGAAAGCGAAGAGAGGCTGGGATGAAGGGTGCAAAGGAATAGTAAAGAAAGCACGTTTGAGATCCAGAACAGAATAATGGGTTGTAGAGGCAGGTATTGAGGATAGGAGAGTATATGGGTTTGGCACTACGGGGTGGATAGGCAAAACAATTTGGTTGATAAGGCGCAGATCCTGAACTAATGTGTAAGCCTTGTCTGGTTTTAGGACAGGTAAAATGGGAGAATTGTAAGGGGAGTTTATAGGCTTTAAAAGGCCATGCTGTAGCAGGCTTTAATCCTTTTAAAGCGTGCTGCGGAATGGGATATTGGCGTTGAGTGGGGTAAGGGTGATTAGGTTTTAATGAGATGGTAAGGGGTGCATGATCGGTCACCAAGGAGGGAGTAGAGGTATCCTATACTTGTGGGTTAAGGTGGGGGGATGCAAGAGGAGGAAGCAAAGGAGGCTTTGGATTGGGAAGAATGGCAGCAATGAGATATAGCTGTAGTCCAGGAACAGTCAGGGAAGCAGATAATTTAGTTAAAGTGTCTCAGCCTAATAAGGGAACTGGGCAGGTGGGGATAACTGAAAAGGAGTGCTTGAAAGAGTATTGTCTAAGTTGGCACCAGAGTTGGGGAGTTTTAAGAGGTTTAGAAGCCTAGCTGTCAATACCTACAACAGTTATGGAGGCAAGGGAAACAGGCCCTTGAAAAGAAGGTAATGTGGAGTGGGTAGCCTCCATATTGATTAAGAAGGGGACGGGCTTACCTTCCACTGTGAGAGTTACCTAGACTGTGATGGTCCTGTAGGCTTCTGAGGCGATCGGGATCGGGCAGTGTCAGTCTTCAGCTGCTAAGCCGAGAAGATCTGGGAAGGAGTCAGAGAGCCTTGGGCCAGAGTTCTAGCTGCTCTGGGAGTGGCTGCCAGGTGAGTTGAACAGTCCGATTTTCAGTGGGGTCCCGCACAGATGGGATGCGGCTTAGGAGGAATCCCAGGCTGTGGACATTCCTTGGCCCAGTGGCCAGATTTCCAGTACTTGTAGCAAGCTCCTGGGGGAAGAGGTTCTGGAGGAACCCCTGGCAGCTGCGGTTCAGGCGTTTGGAGTTCTCGTGTGCTGGAGATGTGGCTGGGGTTTGTCTCATCTGGATACTGGAGTGGAGGCAAGGAATTGCAACTCAGAAATATGTTGCTATTTGGCTGCCTCTACTCTATTACTGTACACCTTGAAGGCGAGGTTAATTAAGTCTTGTTGTGGGGTTTGAGGGACAGAATTTAATTTTTGGAGCTTTATTTAATGTTGGGAGCAGATTTGGTAATAAAATGTATATTGAGAATAAGACGGCCTTTTGACTTAGGGTCTAGGGCTGTAAAGCGTCTCAGGGTTGCTGCCAAATGAGCCATGAACTGGGCTGTGTTTTTAAATTTGATGAAAAAGAGCCTAAACACTATCTGATTTGGGAGAGGTCAGATAAAGAAAAAGGAGCATTAACCTTGACTATGCCTTTAGCTTCAGCCACCTTTTTAAGAGGAAATTGCTGGGCAGTTGGGGGAGGGCTAGTCATGGAATGGAACTGTAAGCTGGACCGGGTGTGAGGAGGGGAGGTGATAAAAGGATTATAGGGTGGAGGAGCGGAGGCTGAGGAAGAATTGGGACCCAGCTCGGCCTGGCGAGGAGGGGAGATGTCAGATGGGTCTGTAGAAAAGGAAGATTAGAAAGACTCAGCGATGCTTGGGGTTGGGACTGACGGGACAGGCGGGAGGGAAAGAAGGAAGATTTGGGACGAGTTGCACTGGGCATAGAGACTAGGGAGGGACCGATGTGTAAAAGAATGCCTGGATGTCAGGCACCTCAGACCATTTGCCCATTTTACAACAAGAATTATTTAGATCTTGTAGGATGGAAAAATTGAAAGTGCCGTTTTCTGGCTATTTGGAACCACTGTCAAGTTTGTATTGGGGTCAAGCAGCATTGCAGAAGAAAATAAGGCATTTAGGTTTTAGGTCAGGTGTGAGTTGAAGAGGTTTTAGGTTTTTAAGAACACAGGCTAAGGGAGAAGAAGGAGGAATGGAGGGTGGAAGGTTGCCCATACTGAAGGAGGCAAGCACAGAGAAAAGAGAGAGTAGAGACATGGAGGGAAGGGGTTCAGGGGTTCTTACCTTCCAGAAAAGCGGGAAAGGGGTCAGGGCACAGAAGTAAGGGATTGGGGTGCAGAGACAAGAGGTCGGGGTGTGGAAATAAGGGATCGGGGTGCAGAGATAAGACGTCAGGGCACAGAAATAAGGGATCGGGGGATTCTTGCCCCCTAGAAAAGCGGTACTTGCCACTAAGGGTGAAGGAGAAGGGGTTGGGGGGTTCTTGCCCCCCCAGAAAAGCAGAGAAGGGGTAGAGACACAGAGAAGGAGTTGGGGGTTCTTGCCCCCCCAGAAAAGCAGTACTTGCCACTAAGGGTGAAGGACCAAGGCAGGCATCCCCATGTGGTCAGACACCTCTGAAACGTGGGTGAATAATCAGAGAGGTGTCCCTGCGTGATTAAACACCAAGGGAAGGCTGCCTTCCCGAGTCCATGACCGGCGCTGGAGTTTTGGGTCCACGAATAAAGCGCGTCTCCTGTCTCTACCAGAAAAGGAAAGGAACTGAAATTAAGAGAAGGGAGAGATTGAAGAGTGGAAAGGAGAAAGTGGTTGAGGGATAGTGAGAGAGGTTGGAGAAGAGAGTAAAAAGAGGCTGCTTACTGGATTTAAAATTGGTGAGATGTTCCTTGGGCTGGTTGGTCTGAGGACGAGAGGTCGTAGGTGGATCTTTCTCATGGAGCAAAGAGCAGGAGGACAGGGGATTGATCTCCTAAGGAAGATCCCCTGATTCGAGTTATGGCACCAAATTTCACTCACGTCCGTGTGAAGAGACCACCAAACAGGATTTGTGTGAGCAACAAGGCTGTTTATTTCACCTGGGTGCAGGCGGGCTGAGTCCAGAAAGAGAGTCAGCAAAGGGAGATAGGAGTGCGGCCGTTTTATAGGATTTGGGTAGGTAAAGGAAAATTACAGTCAAAAGGGGGTTGTTCTCTGGCGGGCAGGAGTGGGGTTCACAAGGTGCTCAGTAGGGGAGCTTTTGAGCCGGGATGAGCCAGGAGAAGGAATTTCATAAGATAATGTCATCACTTAAGGCAAGAACAGGCCATTTTCATTTCTTTCGTGGTGGAATGTCATCAGTTAAGGCAGGAACCGGCCATCTGGATGTGTACATACAGGCCACAGGGGGATATGATGGCTTAGCTTGGGCTCAGAGGCCTGACAGTCTGGATCACCTGACCTGGTGATCCGCACACCTCGGCCTCCCAAAGTGCTGGGATTACAGGCATGACCCACTGCACCTGGCCTTAGAAAACTTCTTAAATATTAAAATGTATGTTATGTGTATTTTGCCACAATTTTTGAAAAGTACCTTCTGGTGTTTAGAGACAGAAGATGAGTGGTTGCCTAGGGCCGGGAGAGTGAGGGGATCGTGGTGATGGGCAGCTGGTCGGCATGGGGTTCTGAAGGGCAGTGATGACAACATTCTAAAATTAGACTGTGTTGACGGTTGCACCAACTCCGTGAATACCACAAAATTTAAACCATTGAATTATGCACTTTTAATGGGTAATTGTATGGCATGTAAATTATATCTCAATAAAGTTATATTTTTAAATACCAAAAAAAGGCCGGGTGCGGTGGCTCACGCCTGTAATCCCAGCACTTTGGGAGGCCGAGAAGGGCGGATCACGAGGTCAGGAGATGGAGACCATCCTGGCTAACATGGTGAAACCCCATCTCTACTTTGAAAAAAAAAAAAAAAAAAAAAAGATTACCCGGACGTGGTGGTGGGCACCTGTAGTCCTAGCTACTCAGGAGGCTGAGGCAGGAGAATGGCATAAACTCGGGAGGCAGAGCTTGCAGTGAGTCGAGATTGCGCCACTCAGGAGGCTGAGGCAAGAGAATGGCATAAACCCCGGAGGCAGAGCTTGCAGCGAGCCGAGATTGCGCCACTGCACTCCAGCATGGGTGACAGAGCAAGAGTCCATCTCAAAAAAAAAAAAAAAAAGATTAGTAATATCCTCTGTGTCACTTACCACTTAAGTGATTGAATCACGACTTGAAATTCATCATCTCAAACATGGCTTAGAGTCTGTAGAGGGGGGACAGTCCCAGGAATGCTGGTGTGGGCTTAAGGCTGAATTAAATAGATCCAGATGGCTCACACCTGTAATCCCAATACCTTGGGAGGCCGAGGCAGGTGGGAGGCTGAGGCAGGCGGATCACTGGAGCTCCTGGAGCGAAGAAAGGATGCTAGTGGAAAAACTGGTGAAATCAGAATAAAGTCTATAGTTTTATTTTTTAAAGGAGGCTGGGCGTGGTGGCTCATGCCTCTAATCCCAGCACTTTGGGAGGCTGAGGCAGGTGGATCAGTTGAGTTCAGGAGTTCGAAACCAGCCTGGCCAACTTGACGAAACCCCATCTCTACTAGAAATACAAAAATTAGCTGGGCGTGGTTGTGGGTGCCTCTAATCCCAGCTACTCAGGAAGCTGAGGCAGGAGAATTGCTTGAACCCAGGAGGCGGAGGTTGCAGTGAGCTGAGATCACACCATTGCACTCCAGCCTGGGCTACAGAGCAAGATTCCATCTCCAAATAAGAGAGACATGACAATTAAATAAATTGTGTAATCTTGGATTAAATCCTAAACCAAATATATGTCACTGGTAAAACAAGTGGTGAAATTTGAATAAAGTGGATAGATCAGACAATAGTGTCATATCAGTGCTATTTCTTGACCTTGAACATTAATAACAGAATGTCCTTGGTTTTGGGAAATATAACCTGAAGTGATTAGAGGTTTAGGGCATCATATGCAAATTAGACACACTTTCTTCGGGGAGAGAGGGAGAGGGAGAGAGGCTGAATGATGAAGCAAATGTGGTAAAATGCTAACTTTGGGGAAATCTGGATGAAGAAATTACAGATTTTTTTTTTTTTTATAGACAGGGTAACACTCTGTCACCCAGGCTAGAGTGCAGTGGCACGATCATGGCTCACTGCAGCTTCTACCTCCCTGGGCTCAGATGACCCTCTCACCTCAGCCTCCCAAGTAGCTGGGACTATAGGCGCACAGCACCACACCTGGCTAATTTTTGCATTTTTTTTTCCCCCAGGCTCGTCTCAAGCAATCCACCCACCTCGGCCTCCCAAAGTGCTGGGATTACAGGTGTGAGCCACTGCACCTGGCCAGAAATTCTTTAAACTATTTTTGCAAGTCTGGAATTATGTCAAAATTAAAAGCTCAAAATAATAAAAGACAATATTCTTATATTTCTTTGGTGAAGGTAACTATGTTATGGCTGAGAGGGTGGCTGAGGTCTGAGGATCCAGCCTACATAAGTCTCCTCCATAGAGGGCATCCAAGCGCTCCGTAGGGGGAAGGATAAAGAAAACACCCAGAGTTATGACAGCTGTGTAAGGGGAAACGCCAGCACCGAGTACTGAATCTTCAGTAAATAAGAAGGAGGCGGGCTGGGTGTGGTGGCTCACGCCTGTAATCCCAGCACTTTGGGAGGCTAAAGTGGGCTGATCACTTGAGGTCAAGAGTTCGAGACTAGCCTGGCCAACATGGGGAAACCCTGTCTCTACTAAAAATACAAAAATTAGTCGAGTGTGGTGGCACACGCCTGTAATCCCAGCTACTTGGGAGGCTAGAACAGGAGAATTGCTTGAACCCAGGAGGTGAAGGTTGCAGTGAGCTGAGATTGCACCACTGCACCCCAGCTTGAGGGACAGAGTGAGATTCCGTCTTAAAGAGAAAAAAAAAAGAATTAGCACATTTGTTTGCCTCAAGAAGATACAACTAGTCTTGTACAGTAGTCACATGTATCCACCAGGATATATTCCAAGGCCCCAGTGGATGCTGAAAACTACATAGTACCTTACATGTATATATATATGTATATACATATATACACATATACGTATATGTATACATACATGTATATATGCATGTATGTATATACATATATGCATATATACATACATGTATATATACATGTATGTATATACATATATGTATATGTATGTATACACGCATACATGTATGTATACACGCATATATGTATGTATATACATATATGTATGTATACACGCATACATGTATGTATATACATATATGTATGTATACACGCATACATGTGTGTATACATATATATGCATGTATGCATGTGTGTATATATACATATATGTGTATATATACGCATATACATGTATGTGTATATATGCATGTGTATATATACATGTACGGTACTATGCAGTATATATACACATATATGTATATATGTATACATATATGTATAAATGTATATATGTGTATATATATAAAAGGTATATATGTATATATGTGTGTATATATAAAATGCATGAATTTCTTTTTTCTTACTGTAGATCTTAACAACTTCTGCATAGAATTTTTTTTTATTAAGTGGAGAGTTAGTTACTTACTTAAAAGAAATGTTTCTTGGCTGGGTGTGGTGGCTCACACCTGTAATCCCAGCACTTTGAGAGGCCGAGGCAGGAAGATTCACTTGAGGTGAGGAGTTGGAGACCATCCTGGCCAACGTGGTAAAAACCGGTCTCTACTAAAAGTACAAAAATGAGCTGGGCGTGGTGTTGGGTGTCTGTAGTCCCAGCTACTCAGGTGGCTGAGGCAGGAGAATTGCTTGAACCCACAAGGCAGAGGTTGCAGTGAGCTGAGATCACACCACTGCACCACAGCCTGGGCAACAGAGCAAGACTCTGTCTCAAAAAAAAAAAAAAAAGAAAGAAAAAGAAAAAGAAAAGAAATGTTTCTTTTCTTATTAAGTTCTTTAAATGAAAAGCTTTTCTTTTCACTTTTATTTTATTGAAACATTATAACACTATCTTTGAAGAAGTTAGTGTTATCATTCCATTCTGATGAAACCAATTAACTTATCCAAGCATATGTATACTGTACACAGAGAAGCCAACGTCAAAACCCCTATTTTTATCTTTTTAGATTCAGCAGATACATGTGCAGGTTTTTTATGAGTATATTGCATGATGCTGAGGCTTGCATTAATGATCTAGTCACCAAATAGGTAGATTTTCAAGCCTTGCTCCCCTCCTTACCCAATGTTTAGCGCTCTCACTTATAAGTGAGAACATGTGGTATTTGGTTTTCTTTTCTTTTTTTTTTTTTTTTTTGAGATGGAGTTTCACTCTTGTTGCCCAGGCTGGAGTACAATGGCACCATCTCGGCTCACTGCAACCTTCACCTTCCAGGTTCAAGCAATTCTCCTGCCTCAGCCTCCCGAGTAGTTGGGACTACAGGCATGTGCCACCACACCCGGCTAATTTTGAATTTTTAGTAGAGACAGGGTTTCTGCATGTTGGTCAGGCTGGTCTCGAACTCCCGACCTAAGGTGATCCACCTGCCTCAGCCTCCCAAAGTGCTGGGATGACAGGCGTGAGCCACCGTGTCTGGCCAGTATTTGGTTTTCTGTTTCTGTGTTAACTCGCTTAGGATAATGGCCTCTAGCTGCATCCATGTTGCTGCAAAGGACATAATCTTGTGATTTTTCAAGGCTGTATAGCGTTCTGTGGTGTATACATATCACATTGTCTTTATCCAGTCCACCTCTGATGGGACCTGGGTGGATTCCATGTCTTCACTATTGTGAATCCTGCTGCAATGAACATACAAGTGCATGTGTCTTTTTGGTAGAATGATTTATTTTCCTTTGGCTATATACCCAGCGATGGGATTGCTGGGCTGAATGGTAACTCTGTTTGTAGTTCTCTGAAATATCTCCAAACCAAACTGCTTTCCACAGTGGCTGAACTAATTTACACCCACCAACAGTGTATAAGTGTCCCCTTTGCTCCACAATCTCACCAGCATCTGTTAATTTCTGGCTTTTCAGTAATGGCCATTCTGACTGGTGTGAGATGGTATTGTTGAGGGATAATTTAGGAATCAGAGAGACCGAGGGGTTGAGGAGGATTTATTATTATTATTATTATTTAGGTGCACCGGCCCCAGTCAGATTAACATCCAAAAAGACTGAGGCTCGAACAGAGAGTCCGGTTACCTTTTAAGCATTTTGTGGGGTTGGGGGAGATCTGTGCAGGGGGAAGCATATTACAGAAGCAAGAAACAAAGGCAGTTATTCAATTGAGACATGCATCACATTATTCCTTACTTTTCAAGAAAAATATGTTTTACGACTTGAGGTTATCCTGTCTAGTGATCTTGCAGCCGCACGGCAAGAGAAACAGGGTCTTCACAATGCCTGGGAAAGGGAGAGATAAGGCTCACTAGCCACAGACAGAAAAACAGGCAGTTCATGTTTAAAGGACTCCACCTCTTTCTCTTCCTCGGGGGGAACTGGGTTTTCTTAAATACAACTGAGTTTTTGTTTACACATTCTGTAATTTCTTTTAATTCCTGTTCCAGTATCTCACTGTGAAACTCCCTATGTTTTTATACGATTCTCAGGGGGTTTCCTCTGGGCATGATTGGGCACAACTTCCCACAGTCAGCTCTGGGTACGACCTCCACATTGCAGAATTGAGAAGTTGACCCAGAAATGCATTTTGGGCTGAGCAGACAATTGTCAGAGTTGCTGGCTAGACCACAGATGTGTCAGAGGGACCACGGCCTTTCTGTAAGCTCATGGTCAGAGGCGGAGGGGAGTTGTGAACGTTCTGATGAAAGCAGTCAACGTGAAAGCGCTCTGGTGATGGGCGCTGGTGCTCACCCACCACTTCCTGTGTATCTATCTCCCTGGCCCGCCCGGCTCAGTCCCCACTGCTCAGCACTAGGCCGGCAGAATCTGAGCGATGTCTTCCACACTCCCTGCCCTGCTCTGCGTCGGTGAGTTCTGGCGTGGAAGGGGAATGGGATCACGGTGTGCCTGGGAGGCAACAGGTCTCATTACTCCCGTCTTCCAGGGCTGTGTCTGAGTCAGAGGATCAGCGCCCAGCAGCGTGAGTCCTTCCTTCAAAGCCCAGGGTCACTCTTCCGGGTTCAGGCCAAGCTCCTTCCACCCAAGCACGGCTGGGGAGAGGGGACAGGGTGCTGGCTTCCCAGGAGAGCTTGGGGCCAGCAGCTGGGTGGAGCCTAAGGTTGGGGGGAGGGGGCTCCGCTGGAACTCCAGCCTCTGATTCCCTTCCAGAGACTCTCCCAAAACCGTTCATCTGGGCCGAGCCCCATTTCATGGTTCCAAAGGAAAAGCAAGTGACCATCTGTTGCCAGGGAAATTATGGGGCTGTTGAATACCAGCTGCACTTTGAAGGAAGCCTTTTTGCCGTGGACAGACCAAAACCCCCTGAGCGGATTAACAAAGTCAAATTCTACATCCCGGACATGAACTCCCGCATGGCAGGGCAATACAGCTGCATCTATCGGGTTGGGGAGCTCTGGTCAGAGCCCAGCAACTTGCTGGATCTGGTGGTAACAGGTAACTGTCCGGTTCTCTAACTGGAGAGTGATCTCAGTCTGCATCCGGGATGCAGCATCATCTATGAACTCTTCCAAGCCCCACTCAGACACTGCTTGTCTCGGTAGGAGGCTGGAAGGAGGGGTGATCCCCATCACAATCCTTGCCTACAAGGGGTTGTCTGCAGACCGTGTCTCTACGTCCTAGGAGCAGATGTGTCCTCAGTCAGTTTCTCCATGACACAGATTCTGAGATAGATATTTGTATGCAGGGGTATGACTGAGGAATGTCCTCAAAAACAATGCCTGTGGGCTAGGCGCAGTGGCTTACACTTTGCTTCCCTCACCCATCACAGGTGGTGGGTTTTTTTTTTTTTTATCTGTTTTGAGACGGAGTTTCGCTCTTGTCACCCAGGCTGGAGTGCAGTGGTGCAATCTCCAGTCACTGCAACCTCCACCTCCTGGGTTCAAGTGATTCTCCAGCCTCAGCTTCCCAAGTAGCTGGGATCACAGGCACCCACCACTACGCCACATTTTGTATTTTTAGTAGAGATGGGGTTTCACCATGTTGGCCAGGGTGGTGTCGAACTCCTGACCTCAGATGATCCGCCCGCCTCACCCTCCCAAAGTGCTGGGATTACAGGTGTGAGCCATCACACCCAGCCAGGTGGTGGTTTTCTAAAAAAAAAAAAAAAAATTAGCTTTTTTTTTTTTTAACAATATGGTTGTTTATTATTATTATCAAGTATTATACATAGTTACATATACATACATAATTGTATGTGCTATACAATTAGGTTTGTTTATACCAGCAACACCAAAAACACATGAGCAATACTTTGTGCTAGGAAGGCTATGATGTCATCAGGCAATAGGAATTTTTCAGTTTCATTATAATCTTATGGGACCACCATCATATATGTGGTACATTGTTGGCCAAAATGTCATTATGCAGCTCACAACAGTATTTCATGTCCATTCAAATATCTTCTTTTGTGAAATGTCTATTTAAATCTTTTGCCTATTTTTAAATTGGGTTGCTTATATTTTGATTGATTAGGAAAAGTTATTTCTATATTCTGTGTCATATACTTGTGTTGAAATATATATATTTTTTGTCTGTGCCTTTTCATTTGCTCAGGGTCTTTGGACCTTGTTTGGAGGTTCTGGCAGGGGAACACAGCTACTCATTTATTCTTTTTTTTTTAATTTTTTTAGTATTTATTGATCATTCTTGGGTGTTTCTCGGAGAGGGGGATTTGGCAGGGTCATAGGACAATAGTGGAGAGAAGGTCAGCAGATAAACATGTGAACAAAGGTCTCTGGCTTTCCTAGGCAGAGGTCCCTGCGGCCTTCCGCAGTGTTTGTGTCCCTGGGTACTTGAGATTAGGGAGTGGTGATGACTCTTAAGGAGCATGCTGCCTTCAAGCATCTGTTTAACAAAGCACATCTTGCACCGCCCTTAATCCATTTAACCCTGAGTGGACATAGCACATGTTTCAGAGAGCACGGGGTTGGGGGTAAGGTCATAGATTAACAGCATCCCAAGGCAGAAGAATTTGTCTTAGTACAGAACAAAATGGAGTCTCCTATGTCTACTTCTTTCTACACAGACACAGTAACAATCTGATCTCTCTTTCTTTTCCCCACATTTCCCCTTTTTCTATTCGACAAAACCGCCATCGTCATCATGGCCCATTCTCAATGAGCTGTTGGGTACACCTCCCAGACGGGGTGGCGGCCGGGCAGAGGGGCTCCTCACTTCCCAGACGGGGCGGCCGGGCAGAGGCGCCCCCCCACCTCCCAGACGGGGCAGTGGCCGGGCGGGGGCTGCCCCCCAACCTCCCGGACGGGGCGGCTGGCCGGGGCTTTTTTTTTTTTTTTTTGAGACAGTCTCGCTGCAGTGCAGTGGTACAATCTCAGCTCACTGCAACCTCTGCCTCAGCCTCAATTCTCCTGCCTCAGCCTCCCAAGTAGTTGAGATTACAGGCATGTGCCACCACACCCGGCTAATTTTTGCATTTTTAGTAGAGACGGGGTTTCACCATGTTGACCAGGCTGGTCTCAAACTCCTGACCCAGGAGGTCGAGTCTTCAGTAAGCAAAGATAGTGCCACGGCGCTCCAGCCTGGGAAACAGAGCAAGACCCTGTATCATTTTTAAAAATGGTTTTAGACGGTAAATCTTCTATTGTGTGTATTTGACCAAAATAATAATTAAAAAAAAAAAAAAAGCTGGCTGCCAGGCATGGTGGCAGGCCCCTGTAGTCCCAGCTACTTGGGAGGGTGAGGCAGGAGAAACGCTTGAACCCGGGAGGCAGAGGTTGCAGTGAGCCAAGATCGTGTCACTGCACTCCAGCCTGGGCGACAGAGAGAGACTCCATCTCTAAAGAAAGAAAAAAAAAAATAGCTGGCTGCTCATCACTGAGTTTCTGGTGTGGTGGCCCCACCTTCTCTCATAGAAATGTATGACACACCCACCCTCTCGGTTCATCCTGGACCCGAAGTGATCTCGGGAGAGAAGGTGACCTTCTACTGCCGTCTAGACACTGCAACAAGCATGTTCTTACTGCTCAAGGAGGGAAGATCCAGCCACGTACAGCGCGGATACGGGAAGGTCCAGGCGGAGTTCCCCCTGGGCCCTGTGACCACAGCCCACCGAGGGACATACCGATGTTTTGGCTCCTATAACAACCATGCCTGGTCTTTCCCCAGTGAGCCAGTGAAGCTCCTGGTCACAGGTGAGGAAATGCTCAATTCCCCACACCCTTCGCCGCCATGTCCTACCTGGAGCCCTGAGGGATCCCCAGAGAGTGATGGGGAGGGTGTCCAAGGGACGTCCACTTCCTGGGTGCCTGGTTGGTCATGTGAGGAAGAACACCAGAAGCAGGAAGGAGGAGGGAGCAGAGAAAGGAATGGTAAGGCGGGTGGATCACAAGGTCAGGAGTTCGAGACCAGCCTGGCCAAGACGGTGAAACCCCGTCTCTACTAAAAATACAGAAATTAGCCAGACGCAGTGGCGGACACCTGTAGTCCCAGCTACTCAGGAGGCTGAGGCAGGAGAATCGCTTGAACCCGGGAGGCGGGGGTTGTAGTGAACCGAGATCATACCACCGCACTGCAACCTGGGCGACAGAGCAAGACTCCATCTCAAAAAAAAAAAAAAAAAAAAAAAGAATGGCAAGACCGGAGGAAACCAAAAACCCTTACTTTTTTTTCTTTATCTCCTTTTCCAGGCGACATTGAGAACACCAGCCTTGCACCTGAAGACCCCACCTTTCCTGGTGAGTAACTGGTCCTTCTAAGCTCAGACGAGCAATCAGAGCCTCCCAGTGACACTAAAAACGTGGCATTCATTCAAAATATTCATCGAGGCCAGGCGTGGTGGCTCACGCCTGTAATCCCAGCACTTTGGGAGGCCGAGATGGTGCATCATTTGAGGTCAGGAGTTTGAGACCAGCCTGGCCAACATGGCGAAACCCTGTCTCTACTAAAAATACAAAACTTAGGCTGGGCATCATGGCTCACACCTGTAATCCCAACACTTCGGGAGGCCAAGGTGGTTGGATCACAAGGTCAGGAATTCGAGACCAGCCTGACCAACATGGTGAAACCCCATCTCTACTAAAAATACAAAAATTAGCCGGGCCTGGTGGTGCTCGCCTGTAATCCCAGCTACTCAGGAGGCTGAGGCAGGAGAATTGTTGAACCTGGGATGCAGAGGTTGCAGTGAGCTGAGATCGCGCCACTGCATTCCACTCCACTGCACGACACAGCGAGACTCCATCTCACAGAAAAACAAAAACAAAACTATTATATATATATATTCATCAAGTGCATAGTATACACAGTGAACTACACTGTAACAGTCAGCCAGGCAGATATCTTGACTCTGCAGCACTTAGATTCTAGCAGGAGGAGACACACCATCGGTCAACGTCAGGATAGCACACAGGAGGGAATGATGCTATGGAAGGAAAAGACAAAGTAGAACAGACTTACAGTGATTGAAATGGCAGCTAGCAATATTAAATAGGTTTGTCCAGATGGACCTCACAGAGAAAGAAGGCATCTGAGCAAATGCGTTCAGACTTGAGTTAATCATGTGGCTGTCAGGAGAAAGGAGGCTCTGGAGAGAATGAAATGGCATCTGCCTGTGCCCTGGGGCAGGAAGATAACTGGGGTAATACAATAATAACTATGAGGCCAGGAGGGTTGAAAATGATGTTTGGAAGATGACGGTGGGATGGGCCTGGGGCGCACGGCTAGGATTACAGGAGTGAGGCCCGGCGCGGTGGCTCACGCCTGTAATCCCAGCACTTTGGGAAACCGAGGCAGGTGGGTCATGAGGTCAGGAGATCAAGACCATCCTGGCTAACACGGTGAAACCCTGTCTCTACTAAAAAAAAATACAAAAATTATCCGGGCGTGGTGGCGGGCGCCTGTAGTCCCAGCTACACAAGAGGCTGAGGCAGGAGAATGGCGTGAACCCGGGAGACGGAGCTTGCAGTGAGCTGAGATCGCGCCACTGCACTCCAGCCTGAGCGACAGAGTGAGACTCCGTCTCAAAAAAAAAAAAAAAGAAAAAGAAAAAGAAAAAAAAATAGTGAGACTTTGAATTTCACTATGTGTGTATGTGTGAGGAGAAAGAGGTAATGATGACTTAATGAGGAAAATGAGGCTTAAATAGAAGACGGGCTGGGCCGGGTGGCTCCCGCATGTAATCCCAGCACTTTGGAAGGCAGGGGCGGCTGGATCACTTGAGGTCAGGAGTTCAAGACCAGCCTGGCCAACACAGTGAAACCCCATCTCTACTAAAAATACAAACATGAGTTGGGTGTGGTGGCGCACGCCAGTAATTACAGCTACTCGGGGCTGAAGCAAGAGGATTGCTTGAACTCGGGAGGCGGAGGTTGCAGTGAGCTGAGATCACACCACTGTACTCCAGCCTCAGAGGCCTGTCATCCCAGCCCTTTGGGAGGCCGAAGCAGGCAGGTCATCTGAGGTTGGGAGTTCAAGACCAGCCTGGCCAACATGGCAAAACCCCGTTTCTACTAAAAATATGAAAAAAATTACCTGGGTATGTGGTGTGTGCCTGTAGTCCCAGCTACTCCAGAGGCTGGAACACAGTGAGACTCTATCTCAAAAAAAAAAAAAATAGAAGACATGACTGGTGCAAAGACACATGCTCACAAGTGCTAGAATGGAATTCCTCGTCAGGTTCGTCCATCTGTGGACCCTTCCACTTTACCTGCTGGATGAAGCTCCTGGGACCCGCAGGGTGAGGTGGGACCTTGTAAAGCTGCAGAACGTCATGGGGTAGACCCAAGGGAAGGAGTGCTGGGGTGGAGGAGGTCAAAACCATCCTCTTTTCTTCACTTCCCTTATCATCAGCAGACACTTGGGGCACCTACCTTTTAACCACAGAGACGGGACTCCAGAAAGGTAAGTAGACAGCTGGGGCCATAGGCTCTGAAGGAAGGGGCTGGGCATAGAGTAGACCTAGGAAGGGAATCTAAATGGGAACAAGAGGGTGTCCTTGGCCAGGCGCAGTAGCTCACACCTGTAATCTCAGCCCTTTGGGAGGCCGAGGCGGGCAGATCATCTGAGGTCGGGAGTTCAAGACCAGTCTGGCCAACATGGCGAAATCCCATCTCTACTAAAAATACAAAAAAATTAGCCAGGCGTGGTGGCGTGTGCCTGTAGTCCCAGCTACTTGGGAGGCTGAGACAGGAGAATAGCTTGAACCCAGGAAGTGGAGGTTGCAGTGAGCCGAGATCGTGCCATTGCACTCCAGCCTGGGCGACAAGACTGAGGCTCTGTCTCAAAAAAAAAAAAAAAAAAAAAAAAAAAAAAAAAAAAAAAGAGGGTGTCCTTACATCCCTGTCAGCGATCACCCTGTTCTCCTGCCTACAGACCATGCCCTCTGGGATCACACTGCCCAGAATCTCCTTCGGATGGGCCTGGCCTTTCTAGTCCTGGTGGCTCTAGTGTGGTTCCTGGTTGAAGACTGGCTCAGCAGGAAGAGGACTAGAGAGCGAGCCAGCAGAGCTTCCACTTGGGAAGGCAGGAGAAGGCTGAACACACAGACTCTTTGAAGAATGACCATGAGACACAGTGGCCATGGGTGGATCTGAAAGCTGGTGTTGAGCCTGGGCGGCGTGAGCTCTGTGTTGGACCCACGGAGGAGGGAGTCACTGCAGGGAAAGAGGGACACTGGCATTCCATTTGTCAGAGCATCCCGGACGATGCAGAGGGTGGGAGAACTACATGCTAAATTTCTTTTTTTTTTTTTTTGAGACAGAGTTTTCTCTTGTTGCCCAGGCTGGAGTGCAATGGCGCGATCTTGGCTCACTGCAACCTCTAGCTCTCCATCCCTCGGGTTCAAGTGATTCTCCTGCCTCAGCCTCCTGAGTAGCTGGGATTACAGGCATGTGCCACCACCCCAGCTAATTTTGTATTTTTAGTGGAGACGGGGTTTCTCCCTGTTGGCTGGTCTCGAACTCCTGACCTCAAGTGATCTCCCCGCCTTGGCCTCCCAAAGGGCTGGGATTACAGGCATAAGCCGCTGCGCCCAGCCACTGAATTTCTTCTGTAGACAAATCCTATGGTCTCTTCTAGGCTCTAACTATTTTTGTACCACTTACTGCAAACCATACTTTTAACCACTCTGGTCTTTTCTGAAAAGATCTCTCCTTCTTTAACAGGATGGCCATGGAAATATTTTTTTCCTACTTTGGTCTTTTTTTCTTTCCTTTCTCTGCAGGAAGCCATTCAAAATAGTTAATAACCAATATAGAATAGGTCTGTATCAAATGGTTCAGGAGGCATTGTGGCAACAACCAGTTGTAGAGAAGCAGCTTTATAAGTGAATCCTGCCAGGCACGGTGGCTCACACCTGTAATCCCAACACTTTGGGAGGCTGAGGCGGGCAGATCACCTGAGGTCAGGAGTTCGAGACCAGCCTGGCCAACATGATGAAACCCCATCTCTACTAAAAATACAAAAACTCGGCCAGGCACGGTGGCTCATGCCTGTAATCCCAGCACTTTGGGAGGCCAAGGTGGGAGGATCACCTGAGGTCAGGAGTTCGAGAGCAGCCTGGCCAACATGGTGAAACCACATCTCTACTAAAAATATAAAAATTAGCCAGGTATGGTGGCGTGTGCTTGTAATCCCAGCTACTCAGGAGGCTGAGGCAGGAGAATAGCTTGAACCCGGGAGGCGGAGGCTGCAGGGAGCCAAGATCGCACCACTGCACTCCAGCCTACGTGACAGAGCAAGATTCTGTCTCAAAAAAAAAAAGAAAAAAAAAAAATAAGTGACTCCTGGCTGCATCCCAACCATACCCCAATTCCTTCTAACCACAGAATTATTCCATCTTCTCTTCCTTTTTTTTTTTTTTCTTTTTTTTTGTTTGTTTTGTTGGGACAGAATTTCACTTTTTTTTTTTTTAATGTAAGTTTTAGGGTACATGTGCACAACGTGCAGGTTAGTTACATATGTATACATGTGCCATGTTGGTGTGCTGCACCCACTAACTCGTCATTTAACATTAGGTATATCTCCTAATGCTATCCCTTCCCCCGAGTTTCACTTTTGTCACCCAGGCTGGAATGCAGTGGTGCAATCTTGGCTCACTGCCACCTCCACCTCCAGGGTTCAAATGATTCTCCTGCCTCAGCCTCCTGAATAGCTGGGATTATAGGCATGCACCACCACGCCCGGCTAATTTTTGTATTTTTAGTAGAAATGGGGTTTCACAATGTTGGCCAGACTGGTCTTGAACTCCTGACCTCAGGTGATCCACCAGCCTCGGCCTCCCAAAGTGCTGGAATTACAGGTGTGAGTCACCGTACCCGGCCACCATCTTTGCTTCTTTATCCACACCTTGCCTTGTTCTTCAGGGCTCTGCAGAGATATCATTTCCTCCAAGAGTTTCCACAACTCCGACTTCACAAAGATAGCACTTTTTTTTTTTTTTTTGAGACAGTCTCACTCTGTAGCCCAAGCTGGCGTGCAGTGGCACAATCTCAGCTCACTGCAACCTTCGCCTCTGGGGCTCAAGCGATTCTCCTTCCTCAGCCTCCCAAGTAGCTGGGACTAGAGGCGCGCGCCACCACACCCGGTTAATTTTTTTTGCATCTTTAGTAGAGGTAGGGTTTCATCATGTTGCCCTGGGTGGTCTCAAACTCCTGAGTTCAGGTGATCCCCCCGCCTTGGCCTCTCAAAGTGCTAGGATTACAGGCGTGAGCCACTGCGCCCAGCCAAGACAACACTTTCCTCATCCCAAAGCACCTGTTAATTCCCTGTAACAGCACTTGAACCCTGATTCGGCATGCATGTCCATTTTCCTGCCTCTACCGTGAACTCGTGTGAATTGATCTATGTCAGATTTAGTGGCTGCATTCACAGCTCCCGCAACTATAACGGGGTTCTCGGGAAATATATATCAAATGAGTGAATGTATATACGGGGCTGTGGCACAGCCTGCAACTTGAGACTTCTCACTAGGGGTCTTGAAATGCTGTCTGGACACCACCATCGCTTTCCTCCCTGAGAACTTCTACTTATCAACCCATTTATATACTCATCGCATGGGTCCTCACGCCCTCCCATTATTCTGGTGCCTCATGCCGGTCAAATTTATTCTCTAAATCTGATTTTTCCATTAAATAGCAGCCTGGCCAACACGGTAAAACCCCATCTCTACTAAAAAATACAAAATATTAGCCAGGCGCAGTGGCTTGCACCCGTAATCTCAGCTACTCGGGAGGCTGAGGCAGCAGAATCACTTGAACCCGGGAGGCAGAGGTTGTGGTAAGCCGAGATTGCACCACTGCACTCCAGCCTGGTAACAGAGCGAGACTCCCTCTCAAAATAAATAAACTGCTGACTCGCGTATTTTTTCTTTACCCCAACTCATTCCTTACATGTAGGCACCTGTAATCCTAGCTACTCAGAAGGCTGAGGCAGGAGAATCGCTTGAACCTGGGAGGCGGAGGTTGCGGTGAGCCAAAATCGTGCCACTGCACTCCAGCCTGGGCGACAGAGCGAGACTCCATCTCAAAAAAAAAAAAAAAAAAACCACATAGGCTCAGTCTTTTCAGTATCTGCTTTACTGGTTCAGTAAAAGCCAGGAAACACAACTTTGTGGTAATCTGAATGTTATTGAACTGTATTTTGTTCACTTTATTGTAAATACTAGTGAACAGTGAATAAATGGTTGTATATTCCTAATAAGAAAAAAAAAAAAAAAGACCCAAAGTACAGCGAGCTGATGCCGATCTCATTTCGCAGAGGTCCGCCTGCTCTCCCCTCTCCAAGAGTGTAATCCTATGCTTAATAAACTTATGCCGCTTTGCTATGTGTGTGTATCACACCCAATTCTTTGTTCGAAACACCAAGGGCCTGGAACTTCACAGCTTTGGCTGGTAACGGGGAGCAGGGGTAAAGACATTTAAAAGCTGCTTGTGTTAACCATAATCGCCATCCCATATATCAGACCCCCAGAACTAACTCATCTTATAACTGAATATTGTGCTTTTTTTTTTTTTTTTTTTTTGAGACGAAGTCCTGCTCTGTCACCCAGGCTGGAGTGCAGTGGCGCGATCTTGACTCTGCAACCTCCGCCTCCCGGGTTCAAGCGATTCTCCTGCCTCAGCCTCCCGAGTAGCTGGGACTACAAGTGCGTGCCACCACGCCCGGCTAATTTTTGTATTTTTAGTAGAGACGGGGTTTCTCCATGTTGGTCTCAAACTCCTGGTCTCAGGTGATCCACCCGCCTTGGCCTCCCAAAGTGCTGGGATTACAGACGTGAGCCACCACACCCAGCTACTTGTGCTTTTTGACCAACATCTTCCTCTCCTACCACCCCCAGCCCCTGATAACCTCCACCTACTCTCACTTCTAGGAGATCAACTGTTCTATTTTTTTTTTTTTTTTTTTTTTTTTGAGTCTCGCTCTGCACACCCAGGCTGGAGTGCAGTGCTGCAATCTCGGATCACTGCAACCTCCGCTTTCCGGGTTCAAGCGATTCTCCTGCCTCAGCCTCCAGAGTCGCTGGGATTACTGAGCCACCGCGCCCAGCCAGAAGACCCACGCTCCCTAAGACATAACCCACACTGGTGGCCTTTGTTCTGACTTCTCACCTGTGCTCCCCACCCGCTAGAAACTGGCTTCTCTCCCCACACTTCCTCTGAAGCTGTCTGTGTGACCAACACTAATGAGCTTCCTTCCTGGAACATGCAGTGACCCTTTTCAGCCCTTCTCATTATTGCTCCCCCACAGTTGTATTTGACACGTTGACCACTTCCTCCTCGAAGGACTCACTTCTCTGGCTTTCTCGGACACTTCTTGCTACTCGTTTTCTGACGGTTACAGTACCAACAGGTTTGCAGGCACCTCCACCACCAGAGCCAATCCCAGCTACTCGGGAGGCTGAGGCAGGAGAATCGTTCAAACCCGGGAGGCAGAGGTTGCAGTGAGTCGAGATTGCGCCACTGCACTCCAGCCTGAGTGACAGACTGTGACTCCTCAAAAAAAAACAAAAACAAAAACAAAAAAACTACAGTCTTGCTCTGTCGCCCAGGATGGAATGCAGTGGTGCCATCTTGGCTCACTGCAACCTCTGCCTGCTGGGGTCTAGCGATTCTCCTGCCTCAGCCCCCCAAGGAGCTGGGACTACAGGCATGTGCCGCCACGCCTGGCTAATTTTTGTATTTTTAGTGGAGATGGGGGTTTTACCATGTTAGCCAGGTTGGTCTTGAACTCCCGACCTCATGTGATCCGCCCACCTTGGCCTCCCAAAGTGCGAGGATTACAGGCCCCCGCACCCAGCCTAGGATCCTGCACCTCTCTAGCCTAGCAGTTCTCTGCTGGGTGATTTTGCTCTCCACTCCAGGGGACATTTGGCAATGCCCATGGTAATTTTTAATTGTCATGACTTGGGGAGGGGTTCTACTGGCATCTGGTAGGTAGGGTCCAGGGGTGCTGCTCAGCTTCCTACAATGCCCAGGGCAGCCCCAGATGGCAGCAGCACCAAGGCTGAGAAACACTGGCTCATGCAGAAAGCAACCACCTTACACCCTTCAGTGCAGGGACAAAGGCAGGGTTACGAGTCCACGGAAACTCTCCAGTCTCAGCCTACGTAAGACGTGGCTATTTTTCTTTCTTATTGTTTTTATTCATTTATTTTTCTTGAGACAGAGTCTTGCTCTGTCGCCCAGGCTGGACTGCAGTGGCGCGATCTCTGCTCACTGCAAGCTCCGCCTCCCGGGATCACACCATTCTCCTGGGACTACAGGCGCCCGCCACCTAGCCCGGCTAATTTTTTGTATTTTTAGTAGAGACGGGGTTTCACCATGTTAGCCAGGATGGTCTCGATCTGACCTCGTGATCCTCCCGCCTCGGCCTCTCAAAGTGCTGGGATTACAGGTGTAAGCCACCGCACCCGGCCTTATTCATTTATTTTTTGAGATAGAGTCTGAGCCCTTTATTTTATTTATTTAGAGACCAAGTCTCGCTCTGTTACCCAGGCTGGAGTGCAGTGTCGTGGCCTCAGCTCACTGCAACAACCTCCGCCTCCCGGGTTCAAGCGATTCTCCCACCTTGGCCTCCCAAAGTGCTGGCATTACAGACACCCACTACCATGCCTGGCTAATTTTTTGTACTTTTAGTAAGTAAAGACAGGGTTTCACCATCTTGGTCAGGATGGTCTCGAACTCCTGGCCTCAAGTGATCGGCCCGCCTGGGTCTCCCAAAGTGATGAGATTACAGGCGTGAGCGACCACACTGGCCTAATGTGTAGTTTTTTATCTGTGGCCTCCCTTCTGCCCTCCCCCTTCTGAGACTCTGAAGCCCATTACATCACTCTGCCTTTGTGTACCAACAGCTTAGCTCCCACTGAGAACATACAGAGCCAGGCACGGTGGCGGTGGCTCACGCCTGTAATCCCATCACTTTGGGGGTGCTGAGGCAGGTGTATCGCCTGAGGCCAGGAGTTCAAGACCAGTCTGGCCAACATGGTGAAACCCCATCTCTACTAAAAATAGAAAAATACATAGCTGGGTGTGGTGGCACGTGCCTATAATCCCAGCTACTAGGGAGGCTGAGGTTGGAGAATCGCTTGAACCCAGGAGGCGGAGGTTGCGGTGAGCCAAGATCACACCATTGCACTCTAGCCTGGGCAACAAGAGCAAAACTGTCTTAAAAAAAAAAAAAAAAAGTGAGAACATATGGATTCTACTCCTGTTAGAATAATGGCCTCCAGCTCCATCCAAATTGCTGGAAATGACATTATTTCATTCCTTCTAATGGCTGAATAGTATTCCATGGTACATAGACACCACGTTTTCTTTATCCACTGTAGGGACCAGCCCCACAGGGTCGGTGGGTCTCTCCCTGTGTGCGGCGACGAGAGAGTGTAGAAATAAAGACACAAGACAAAGAGACAAGAGAAAAGGCAGCTGGGCCCGGGGGACCACTACCACCAATGCGCGGAGACCGGTAGTGGCCCCGAATGTCTGGCTGCGCTGTTATTTATTGGATACAAGGCAGAAGGGGCAGGGTAAAGAGTGTGAGTCACCTCCAATGATAGGTAAGGTCACGTGGGTCACGTGTCCACTGGACAGGGGGCCCTTCCCTGCCTGGCAGCCGAGGCAGAGAGGGAGAGGAGACAGAGAGAAAGACAGCTTACGCCATTATTTCTGCATATCAGGGACTATTAGTACTTTCCCTAATTTACTACTGCTATCTAGAAGGCAGAGCCAGGTGTACAGGATGGAACATGAAGGCGGACTAGGAGCGTGACCACCGAAGCACAGCATCACAGGGAGACGGTTAGGCCTCCGGATAACTGCGGGCGAGCCTGACTGATGTCAGGCCCTCCACAAGAGGTGGAGGAGCAGAGTCTTCTCTAAACTCCCCCGGGGAAAGGGAGACCCCCCCCCCCACCCGCTGCCCCTTTCCCGGTCTGCTAAGTAGCGGGTGTTGTTAATTGACACCTTTTGCTACCGCTGGACCATGATCCGCTTGGTGACGGGTGTCTTCCCAGACGCTGGCGTCACCGCTAGACCAAGGAGCCCTCTGGTGGCCCTGTCCGGGCATAACAGAAGGCTCGCACTCTTGTCTTCTGGTCACACCTCACTATGTCCCCTCAGCTCCTATCTCTGTATGGCCTGGTTTTTCCTAGGCTATGATTATAGAGTGAGGATTATTATAATATTGGAATAAAAAGTAATTGCTACCGGCTAATGATTAATGATACTCATATATAATCATATCTAAGATCTATATCTGGTATAACAATTCTTGTTTTATATTTTATTATACTGGAACAGCTCGTGTCCTCTGTCTCTTGCCTCGGTGCCTGGGTGCCTTGCCGCCCACAATCCACTCATTATTCAATGGGCACTTCGGTTGGTTCCACATCTTTGCAATTGTGAATGGCTGAGCCAGCCATTCTTAACTGGGGGTGATTTTGTCCCCATGGGGGTATCTGGCCACATCCCGAGAGGTTTTTTGGTTGTCACGAGTTGCAGTGGGGGCAGGCTCAGGCTCATCCAAGTCCAGGGGTGCTGCTATACATCACGTGATACACAGGACAGTCCTTGCTACGGACTGAATTGGTCCCACCAAACGTCATGTACAAGCCCTACCCCAGATGTGACTCTATTTGGACACAGGGCTTTTCAGAGGTAATTAAGGCTGGTCAGGCGCCGTAATCACAGCACTTTAGGAGTTCTGTGTTTATTACTGGTAAGTGGGTAAGAGCCCAGTGTGGCAGCTCACGCGTGTAATCCCAGCACTTTGGGAAGCGAAGGCAAGGGGATAACTGGAGGCCAGCAGTTCAAGACAAGCCTGGTCAATACAGCAAGACTCCATCTCTATAAAATATTTTAAAATTAGCCAAGCATGTTTGGCATGCACCTGTAATCCCAGCTCAGGAGGCTCAGGTGGGAGGATTCCTTGAGTTTAAGGCTGCAGTGAGCTAAGATCGCACCATTGCACTCCAACCCGGCTGTGGGCAACACAGCACCACCACCATCTTGGCTGGGCACGGTGGCTCACGCCTGTCATGCCAGCACTTTGGGAGGCCGAGGCGGGTGGCTCACCTGAGGTCAGGAGTTTGAGACTAGCCTGGCCAACATGGTGAAATCACGCCACTGCACTCCAGCCTAGGCAACCAAGTGAGACTCTGTCCGCCCCACCACCCCACCAAAAAAAAGACTACTATCTTAAACAAAATCAAAATTTTTAAGTAGATAAAATATTTAGGGGAAAAAAACTTCAATTAAATATGCAGCAGAGTCCGACCCAGATGTTTTCACTCCCAGCCTCTACCTACTATCTTTGTGTCTTTATTTTTAGCAAATTCTACACGGGAACTTCATGTGCATGTAGAACCCTAAATGTTGACTCAGCCCTACCTCTCATCACCTGACCACTTCCTTTATTCACGCTGTCTCTACCACCCTTCCCATCGGTGTGAGCTGTATCCCGCTAAACACTGTTACCACCCACAGCCTGCATTACTACCAGCTGACTGTAGCCTTAAACACCACAGTGATCTCGAGCATTTGAGAAGACTTATCTTGACAAGGGCTCACGAAAGACAGCAATGCTCAACAGCAAGATAAATGAGGGCCTTCATGGGATCATTCAGTGCTGAAGCCACTCAACCTCCAGGTTTGGGTTAGTAAAAAGAACTTTGTCAGGCCAGGCACAGTGGCTCACGCCTGTCATCCCAGCACTTTGGGAGGCCAAGGCGGGCAGATCACCTGAGGTCAGGAGTTCAAGACCAGCCTGGCTAACATGGTGAAACCTCGTCTTTACTAAAAATACAAAAATTAGCCAGGCATGGTGACGCACACCTCTAGTCTCAGCTACTCCGGAGGCTGGGACAGAAGACTCACTTGAACCCAGGAGGCAGAGGTTGTAGTGAGCCAAGATCGCACCACTGCACTCCAGCCTGGGCGACAGAGGCAAGACTCCATCTCAAAAAAAAAAAAAAAAAAAAAAAGAAAAGAAAACTTTGTCATACAAGCTTTCAACCTAAAGCATTAGCCATATGCCCGTGTTTTTGTGCCTGGGACCATGACAACTTTCCCCATATCAATGCTCTTATTTTTTTTTTTTCGAGACAAGAGTTTTGCTCTTATTGCCCAGGCTGGAGTGCAGTGGCACAATCTCAGCTCACCGCAAACTCCGCCTCCCGGGTTCAAGCGATTCTCCTGCCTCAGCCTCCCGAGTAGCTGGGATTACAGGCATACACCACCCCACCCGGCTAATTTTGTATTTTTAGTAGAGACGGGGTTTCTCCATGTTGAGGCTGGTCTCGAACTCCTGACCTCAGGTGATCCGCCCGCCTCGGCCTCCCAAAGTGCTGGGATTACAGGTGTGAGCCACAGCGCCTGGCTGCTCTTATTAAAATAGTCTCATCACCTACCGCAAGCGTGGAGAGCCAAGTGAGGAGAGGGGTCAGTCCCTTTTGGCAGCGCCTGGAAGCCAGTGCTAACATCATGGTGACAACTTTTCATTCTTAAGGAAAATTGCGGAGTGACTTCTATGCATTTTCTATGAATGACCAAATACAGGGTGTGGAAAAGCTGTGTTTGCCATGGCAATGGGAAGCCGAGAGAAACGGGGAGGCGAGAGAGACAGAGACATACACAGAGACTCCCAGAGACAGCCACACAGACTCACACAGAAACAGACAGACAGGCTGGGCTCGGTGGCTCACGCCTGTAATCCCACCACTCTGGGAGGCTGAGGCGGGTAGATCACCTGAGGTCAGGAGTCCGAGAACAGCCTGGCCAACATTGTGAAACCCCGTCTCTAGTAAGAATACAAAAAATTAGCCAGGCATGGTGGCACAGGGCTGTAATTCCGGCTACTCGGAAGGCTGAGGCAGGAGAATCACTTGAACCTGGGAGGCGCGGTTGCAGTGAGCTGAGATCACGCCATTGCACTCCAGCATGGGCGACAAGAGTGAAACTCCGTCTCAAAAAAAAAAACAAAAAAAAAAAACGAAAGAACAGAGAGACACATACAAAGACAGAGATAGAAACGCCCAGCGACAGAGACACACACAGAGAAACACAGACAGACACAGAGACACACACACAGAAACAGACACAGAGACAGAGAGACAAAAAGACAGACACAGAGAAACAAAGAGAGACACACAGAGACAGAGAGAGAGAGAGACACATACACACACACACAGAGAGTAGGAGGCGGCCCGTGGGAGCCGAGCAGAACCAGCGTGAGGCAGGGCCATCTTCTGAATTAAAGGCAACAGTGACTGTAAGCTTGTGCTTTGTGAGTAACAGGATAGATTAGAACAGGGCTGGCTGCCCATGGCCCACGAGCTGTTTCTGGGAAGCCTCCGCAGGTGCCAGCCAGGCCCTGCGCTGCTTCCATGTCCAAAGGCACAGCTGAGAGCTGATGAGAGACCGCGGGGCCCACAGTGCCAAGCATATGAACTATCTGGCCCGTTTGTCAATGCGTGGGTTGATCACATAAGTTATGATCACATAAGTCACAAAGACACACTGATCACATAGATGCACCTGGCAGATAGTAGACCACATGGCGCCTGAGTTAGGGAAGAAAAGAAATAGAAGAATCAACCGAATCATCCCTGAACTTCTTAGCAATACTTCCTCCTAGACAAAGCACAGAGTACCATGTTTATTGCAGGTTTGCTCCTGAGCATGTCAATAAACGCAGCTGCAACGAGAGTGCTCTAACTTTATTATCCCTGTGAGAAAGTACATAGCGTCATGTGAAGGGGGTGCGTGACTCGTGCAGAATCTCCCAAAAATAGTGAGAAAACCAGTGTCAAATCCTACCTCTCGACAGACTCTAGTGTTAACATGTGACCCTCTGACCTGCATTCATAAGACATCTTAGAGACCCGAATCCCGCTTCCTGTGTAATTCGTAGAGCGATCCCAGGCTGCTCAGCAAAAAAAGTCACAGCACGGAGGTGCCGTTGCCCCGGAAGCATTGCAATCAATAGTCAGCTTGGGATTCTTTTCTTTCACTTCCTCCAACAGCTTCTTGATTTCCAAATTAGTTTCATAGGTCTTCAACCTGGAGGGATCAGAGAACACAAATGTTCCCAGAAATTCATTCTCAACTACCCAGGATGCCTGAATATCTGTTTTCAAACACTCAAAGCAGGAAACGTTTTTGGGATTTTCTGGGGGACAGGGTCTTGCTCTGTTGCCCAGGCTGGGGTACAGTGGTGCCATCTTGGCTCTCTGCAACCTCCAGCTCCCAAGTTCAAGCAATTCTCATGCCTCAGGCTCCTGAGTAACTGTGATTACAGGTGTGCACCACCACGCTTGGCTAAGTTTTGTATTTACAGTAGAGATGGGGTTTCGACATGTTAGCCAGGCTGGTCTCGAACTTCTGGCCTCAAGTGATCCATCCACCTCGGCCTCCCAAAGCCATGGGATTACAGATGTGAGCCACAGCACCCAGTCAGAAAAGTTTTCTAAAAAGAAATTTAGACCCACACAATGGGGATCCTTATAAGTCTAAGAAAAAAAAGATTATGGCCAGGCACGGTGTCTCGCACCTGTAGTCCCAGCACTTTGGGAGGCCAAGGCAGGCAGATTGCTTGAGCTCCGCAGTTCAAGGCCAGCCTGGGCAACACGGTGAAACCCTGTCTCTACCAAAAATAGAAAAAGTTAGCCAGGAATGGTGGTGCACGCCTATAGTCCCAGCTACTCGGGAGGCGGAGGCAAGAGGATCACTTGAGCCCAGGAGGCGGAGGTTGCAACGAGCTAGAGATTGCCCTACTGCACTCCAGCCTGGTAACAGAGTAAAACATGCCTTTAAAAAATAAATTTAAAAAATAGATAATCAGGCTGGTGCACGGTGACTCACGCCTATAATTCCAGCACTTTGGGAGGCCGAGGCGGGCAGATCACCTGAGGTCAGGAATTCGAGACCAGCCTGGCCAACATAGTGAAACCCCGTCTCTACTAAAAATACAAAAATTAGCTGGGCATGGTGGCAGACAACTGTAATACCAGCTACTCAGGAGGCTGAGACAGGAGAATCGCTTTGAACCTGGGAGGCAGATGTTGCAGTGAGCCAATACCGCACCACTGTACTGCAGCCCGGGTGACAGAGCGAGACTCTGCCTCCAAATAAATAAATAAAAAATAGTGGCAAATCAAACCTTCAGTAGAACTAAGAGAATGCCAGAGTGAACCCCAGGGTTAATGATAGCAAACTTGGCTCTAACGTGGCTGCAGCATGCAAGCCTGTGTATGTGAACATGAGGGGTGGTGATTGTGGAGACACTGGCTTGCTATGTTGCCCAGGCTGGTCTCAAACTCCTGGCCTCAAACAATCCTCCCACCTTGGCCTCCCAAAGGAGGAACTGAGGAATGAGAAAAGAAATACGCCCCAAACATATGACATAAGAGACCACAGGGGGCTAGAGATTTGTCACCAATAGTCCTTGGTGGCATTACAGACCTCGGTCCCACCAACAAGAGAAGCATGACACTATTTAGCTCAAGTTTCATGATATACCCCTAAAACCTTAACCCATTTATGCCAGAGGTTACAATTATTTGAACTGCAGACGTGTGAAAAATCGTACCTTGAGCAGGATATAAATAACTCCCACATGCTTAGCGTTCCAATAATGCAACACTGGGCATCATGAAGCAGTTTACATGCGTATCATCTCTACAACTAAAATAACTCTTGAATAAGACAAGTGGGCTGTGCACAGTGGCTCACGCCTGCAATCCGGGTACTTTGTGAGGCCAAGACAGGAGGATCGTTTGAAGCCAGGAGTTTGAGAACCTCGGCAACACGGCCACACAGTGCAGCAGAGCAAAACGTTGTCTCAGAAAAGAAAAGACAAAGGCAAGAAGAAACTAAAGGTAGATTACGTTAAAATAAGTCACTGAGGCCGGGCGCGGTGGCTCACGCCTGTAATCCCAGCACTTTGGGAGGCCGAGGTGGGCAGATCACCTGAGGTCAGGAATTCGAGACCAGCCTGGCCAACATAGTGAAACCCCATCTCTACTAAAAATACAAAAAATTAGCCGGGCGTGGTGGCGGGCGCCTGTAGTCCCAGCTGCTCGGGAGGCTGAGGCAGGAGAATGGCGTGAACCCGGGAGGTGGAGCTTGCAGTGAGCCGAGATCGCACCGCTTCACTCCAGCCTGGGCGACAGAGACTGGAGTCTCTGTCTCAAAAAAAAGACAGATTCAAAAAAAAAGACAGACTCCGTCTCAAAAAAAAGACTCCGTCTCAAAAAAAAATAAAAAATACAAATAAGTCATTGAAAAGATATACACGGGTCACAACTAAGGGAGCATCTGTAGGACGATCTTCTGAAAAGCTAAGACCCAGGACAGCTCTGGGAACTACCTATTTTTGGATATAATGATTAGGGGTGTGTGTGTGTGTGTGTGTGTGCTCATGCACACACATACACACAAGCTTCCAGTCTGTACTCCAGGATGATTTAAACTCTCAGTATGCCTAGGACTAAGTGTTTTGGGGGAAAGTTGGACAATATTCAATTCACAGAGCATTTTAGAAAAGTATCTAATTTTTAAATTATCTCCTAAGCTAGGAGTGTGCTATAGAAAGATGCCTTAAGTTGATCCCTACAAAGAGTACACACACTCCCAAAAAAACTCTTCTCTGCATGGGAAATTCACCATGTGAAACAGCCATCCCAGGGCCGAGCACAGTGGCTCACGCCTGTAATCCCGGCACTTTGAGAGGCTGAGGCAGGTGGATCACCTGAGGTTGGGAGTTTGAGACCAACCTGACCAACATGGTGAAACCCCATCTCTACTAAAAACTACAAAAATTGGCCAGGTGCAGTGGCTCATGCCTGTAATCCCAGCACTTTGGGAGGCCAAGGCGAGAAGATCACCTGAGGTCAGGAGCTCGAGACCAGCCTGGCCAACATGGCAAAACCCCATCTCTACTAAAAATACAAAAATTAGCTGGGTGTGGTGGCGAGCGACTGTAATCCTAGCTACTCAGGAGGCTGAGGCAGGAGAATCACTTGAACCCAGGAGGCAGAGGTTGCACTGAGCCGAGATAGCGCCACTGCACTCCAGCCTGGGGGACAGAGAGAGACTCTGTCTTTAAAAAAAAAAAAAAAAAAAAAAAATTAGCCAGCTGTGGTGGTGTGTACCTGTAATCCCAGCTACTCAGGAGGTTGAGGCAGGAAAATCGCTTCAACCTGTGAGAAGGAGGCTGCAGTGAGTCAAGATCGCGCCACTGCACTCCAGCCTGGGCAACAGTGAGACTCCATCCCAAAAAGCAAAAACCAAAAAGGCCGGGTGCAATGGCTCACCTCTGTAATCCCACCACTTTGGGAGGCCGAGGCAGGTGGCTCACCTGAGGTCAGGAGTTCAAGACTAGCCTGGCCAACATGGTGAAACCCCTCTCTACTAAAAAATTAGCCAGGCATGGTGGCAGGCATCTGTAATTCCAGCTACTTGGGAGGCCAAGGTGGGAGAATCGCTTGAACCCAGGAGGTGGGGGTTGCAGTGAGCCAAGATCGCACCACTGCACTCCAGCCTGGGCTACAAGAACAAAACTCCGTCTCAAAAAAAAAAAAAGAAAAAGAAAAAAATTAGCTGGACATGTTGGCATGCCTCTAGGCCCAGCTACTCATGAGGCTGAGGCAGGAGAATTGCTTGAACCTGAGAGGCAGAGGTTGCGGTGAGCCAAGATTGCGCCACTGCACTCCAGCCTGAATGACAGAGCACGACTCCATCTCAAAAAAACAAAAACAAAAAACAAAACAAAACAAAACAAAAAACCCATACCTGAGTATCTTCAAGGATCCAGTTCTTTGTCTTAGAACCCCAAAGAGCTTAATTATGCCACTCTTCCACAAATGATTCTGGCCCAGGTCCAGAGTTTCAAGCTTCTGATTGCTGAGGAGAGCAGATCCAAGATGCTGACAATAGAAAGGCATGAGGGAGCAGCTCCAGAGGCTGTTGAGGAAGAACATGGAAATCCACGCATTCACTGAGCAGGTAGTGGCTCAAGCGTGTAATCCCAACACTTCGGGAGGCCAAGGCGGGTGGATCACTTGAGGCCAGGTGTTCGAGACCAGCCTTGCCAACACGGTCAAACCCCATCTCTACTAAAAATACAAAGATTAGGCAGGGCGTGGGGACAGACACCTGTAGCCCCAGCACCTTGGGAGGCCGAGGAGGGTAGATCACCTGAGGTCAGGAGTTCGAGACCAGCCAGGCCAACATGGCAAAACCCCATCTCTACAAAAAATTAGCCATGCATGGTGGTGTGTGCCTTTAATGCTAGCTACTTGGGAGGCTGAGGCACAAGAATCGCTTCAGCCTGGGAGGCGGAGGTTACAGTGAGCCCAGATTGCGCCACTGCACTCCAGCCTGGGCAATAGAATGAGACTCCATCTCACAAATATATAACATAAAATGAAAATACAAAAATTAGCCAGGTATGGTGGAACCACCTATAATTCCAGCTACTCGAGAGGCAGGAGAATCGCCTGAACCAGGAGGCAGAGGTTGTAGTTAGCCAACATATCACCACTGCATTCCAGCTTGGGTGAAAGAGTGAGACTTGGTCTCAAACAAAACAAAACAAAAAAACAAGCAGCATATTTGCTGGGGCTCCAGTAGTGAGGAAAGGCAGAGGGGAGTGAGCAGAAGAAATCCTTGTCCTCAGAGTTTTTAGTGACAGCAGACATCTCGATATGTTCTATTGAAGACAATGGATGATGGTATTAAAATAAACAGGGTAGAGGTAAGTCAAACAGAGAGGCATTGATTGGCTAGACTTATGCTGGTCATTTAAGTCCTCTTTTGGAAAGTGATATGAGGAAAGAAACTGAAGGATGGTAGATCATGAACCAGCATGCTAACTGGGGGAGGGAATCTTGTAAATAAAATACTGAGCTAGTGAGAAAGTAGAATGATTTATGGCTCATAACTTACACGAGGATCCCCCATAAGGCCCTGTAGGCCACTGTAGAAGCCTTTGGTTTTGTTTTTTTTAAGGCAGAGTTTCACTCTTGTTGCCAAGGCTGGAGTGCAATGGCGTGATCTCGGCTCACTGCAACCTCCGCCTCCTGGGTTCAAGCGATTCTCCTGCCCCAGCCTCCCGAGAATCTAGGATTACAGTCATAGCTGAGATTACAGGAACAAGACACCAGGTAATCCACCCGTTTGCATTGAGCTTTTGAGTCTTTGGAAATAAAGGTATCACGGTCTGGCTTGAGGCTTGAAATATTCCTCAGGGGGATGGGTTAAGAAACTTCAGGAGGCCAGGAATGGTGGCTCATGCCTGTAATCCCAGCACTTTGGGAGGTTGAGGCAGGTGGATCACTTGAGGTCAGGAGTTTGAGACCAGTCTGGCTAACATGGTGAAACCTGGTCTCTACTAAAAATACAAAAATTAGCTGGGTATGGTGGTGCACGCCTGTAATCCCAACTACTCAGCTCAATCAGGAGAATCGCTTGAACCTTGGAGGCTGAGGTTGCAGTGAGCCAAGATCGCACCACTGCACTCCAGCCTGGGTGACAAAGCGAGACTCTGTCTGAAAAAAGAAAAAAAGTACCCTGTGTTCTAGTGTTTTTTTTCTTTACTCTACAGCAAAGCTAAGTAGTAATGACGTGCAGATTCTCTTTGCATTAGGATTGCAGATTCTAGTTGGAAAATAGGTTGCATCCAAGAGATGCAACTGACAAACTTTGGGGAGAGAAGTGATGAAGAGCTCGCCATTCCATTTGTGGAGACTTTGCATTTTCTGGGGGTGGTATCCCACCTATGGTTCCCTGGGTTTATGAGGTGGGGCAGGCTCACTGCTTCCTGATTACTGGATCCCAGCAGAAGCAGCATGCTGCTGAAGTCCAGGTCACTGGGGGCCATTGTTATATATATTTCACTTCTCCAGGCCCTCTACCTGACTTTAGAAGTGCCCACCCACATATATTCAGTTTCTGGAGGGGTTTGATCTTAAAACTGGATCCGAAGTGATACAGTCTGAGATATTGAAAACATAGAAATTGGCCGGGCGTGGTGGCTCACGCCTGTAATCCCAGCACTTTGGAAGGCCAAGGCGGGCAGATCATGAGGTCAGGAGATCGAGACCATCCTGGCTAACACTGTGAAACCCATCTCTACTAAAAATACAAAAAAAATTAGCCAGGCACGGTGGCGGGCATCTGTAGTCCCAGCTACTCAGGAGGCTGAGGCAGGAGAATAGCGAGAACCCGGGAGGAAGAGGTTGCAGTAAGCCGAGATCGCGCCACTGCACTCCAGCCTGGGCAACTAGAACGAGGCTCCGTCTCAAAAAAAAAAAAAAAAAAAGAAAACATAGAAATTAAGGATTTCCAGATTTCCAAACACTTTAAAAATGAGGCCAGGCATGATGGCTCATGCCTGTAATCCTAGCACATTGGGAGGCCGAGGTGGGAGGATTCCTTGAGCACCAGAATTCAAAACCAGCCCGGGAAAGATGACAAGACCTCATCTCTACAGAAAACAGTTACCTGGCCATGGTAATACATGCCTGTAGAGCCAGCTACTCAGGAGGCTGAGGTGGGAGAACCGATCAAGCCTGGAAGACCGAAGCCGCAGTGAGCCGTAATCACCCCACTGCACTCCAGGCTGGGGGACAGAGCAAGACCCTGTCTCAAAAAAAGAAAGAAAGAAGAAAAAGAAAATCGCCTACCGTAGGTGTTTTAGGTTACAGTTTGGATTCTCTAATGCCTGACAGAGAATCCACAATCCACGAGCTATCTGGTTGATACTCAAGTCCAGGTTTGTGAGGCTGCAGGCTTCTTGGAGCGCCTCTGAGAGATATCTACAGCCAAGCTTGGTTATGCTGCATTGCTGTAACCTACAGGATAATCAAAGGAAGAGAAGCCTGTTATCCCTCTGGCTAACGCCCTGTGAAGCAGTTATTTCCAACACTATATACCTTCCACTTATATACTGGAATGCAGTGCTGCACTCTTGGCTCACTGCAACCTCTGCCTCCCAGGTTCAAGCGATTCTTCTGCCTCAGCCTCCCAAGTAGCTGGGATTATAGGTGCCCGCCACCTATATAACCAGACTTGGTGGTGCACGCCTGTAGTGCCAGCTACTCAGAAGACTGAGGCAGGAGAATCGCTTGAATCCGGGAGGCAGAGGCTGCAGTGAGCTGAGATCGCGCCACTGCACTCCAGCCCGGGCGACAGAGCGAGACTCCGTCTCAAGAAAACAACAACAACAACAAAAAGTATTTATATAAAACATAGGTGGCAGGTAGGAATTGACCCATGAACTGGAGCTATATACTTCCAGGTGGGCTTGCACATAAAAGCATGCAAATGGGCCGGGCACAGTGGCTCACGCCTATAATCACAGCAGTGGGAGGCCAAGACGGGCAGATCATTTGAGGTCAGGAGTTCAAGACCAGCCTGGCCAACATGGTGAAACCCCATCTCTACTAAAAAATACAAAAATCGGGCCGGGCGCGGTGGCTCAAACCTGTAATCTCAGCACTTTGGGAGACCAAGGTGGGTGAATCACAAGATCAGGAGTTCAAGACCAGCCTGGCCAAAGTGGTGAAACCCCATCTTTACTAAATACAAAAATTAGCTGGGCACGATGGCTCACACCTGTAATCTCAGCACTTTGGGAGGCTGAGGCAGACAGATCACCTGAGGTCGGGAGTTCAAGACCAGCCTAAGCAATATGGAGAAACCCGTCTCTACTAAAAATACAAAATTAGCCAGGTGTGGTGGCACATGCCTGTAATCCCAGCTACTCAGGAGGCTGAGGCAGGAGAATCTCTTGAACTGGGGAGACGGAGGTTGTGGTGAGCAGAGATTGCACCATTGCACTCCAGCCTGGGCAAGAGCGAAACTCCATCTCAAAAAAAAAAAAAAATTAGCCAGGTGTGGCGGCCCATGCCTGTAATCCTAGCTACTCAGGAGGCTGAGGTAGGAGAATTACTTGAACCCAGGAAGCGGAGGTTGCAGTGAGCCAAGATCGCACCACTGCACTCCAGCCTGGTGACAGAGAGAGACTGTTAAAAAAAAAAAAAAAACATCCAAATGGCCTTCTGATTCCATCCATTTCCAGCTCTGCCTGGGACAACAGCTTAGGCTCTGGGTTCAGACCGACCCAGGACAGGATCTGAGCCCTGGGTCACTTATTTTCTGCGTGGTTAGATTATGGAAATTTCACTTTCCCTGTCATTTTATTTCATGTTTAAGTTTTGTCTTTAACTGACACATTCTACATATATAGGGGTATAGTGTGATGTTTTGGTGCAGGTACACTTCGTATAACGATCAGGTAGGTGACTGTTTGTTTAACAATAGTTATTCTAAGCCAGGCACAGTGGCTCATGCCTGGAACGCCAGCACTTTGGGAGGCCGAGGCAGGCAGATCACTTAAGGCCAGGAGTTCAAGACCAGCCTGGCCAACATGGTGAAACCTCATCTCCACTAAAAGTGCAAAAATTAGCCAGGCATGGTGGAGGGCACCTGTAATCCCAGCTACTTGGGAGGCTGAGGCAGGAGAATCGCTTGAACCTGGGAGGCAGAAGTTGCAGTCAGCCAAGATTACACCACTGCATTCCAGTCTGGGCGACAGAGTGAGACTTCATCCAAAAAAAAAAAAATGAATCTCAGAAATGACCACTAGCTAGAATTTCTGAACAGGAACAGGTCTTCAACCCTATGCAATCTCTTGAATATTTTTCTAACCATAATTTTAATGTGAACAGGTAGCTCACGCTGGGCTTCTTTCCATATAACAAGATTCAGCCAACTATAGTTCGTGGGTCAATTCCAACCTGCCACCTATGTCTTTTACAAATAAGGATTTTTGTTGAGTTTTTTTTTGTTTTTTTCTTGAGACGGAGTCTCACTCTGTCGCCCGGGCTGGAGTGCAGTGGCGCCATCTCAGCTCACTGCAGCCTCTGCCTCCCAGATTCAAGCGATTCTCCTACCTCAGCCTTCTGAGTAGCTGGTACTATAGGCACGCACCACCAAGCCTGGTTAATTTTTGTATTTTTTAGTAGCGATGGGTTTTCACCATGTTGGCCAGGCTGGTCTCGAACCTTAGGTGATCTGCCCACCATTCACCACCTGTTCCCCAATAACCTATGGAAATAAAAGTTTAAAAAAAGGTGCCACTGGCCCTACCACATAACTCAATCTACCTCCAATAGCAGGCAGTACTATGTCATAGGAATTTGAAAGAACACACACAAAGCATCAGATCCGAGAACCAACTACTCATCTCAAATCTTCCTTCATAGCAGGAAGAGGCTCTGCTGACATGCAAATATTAACATGTTTCTACCTGTATCTGCCTGGTTTTTTTTGTTTCTTTGTTTTTTTGAGAAGGAGTCTTGTTCTGTCGCCCAGGCTGGAGTGCAGTGGTGCGATCTCGGCTCACTGCAACCTCCGCCTTCCAGGTTCACGCCATTCTCCTGTCTCATCCTCCCAAGTAGCTGGGACTACAGGCATCCGCCACCACACCTGGCTAATTTTTGGTATTTTTAGTACAGACAGGGTTTCACCATGTTAACCAGGATGGTCTCCATCTCCTGACCTCATGATCCACCCGCCTCGGCCTCCCAAAGTGCTGGGATTACAGGCATGAGCCACCACGCCTGGCCTCTGCCTGTTCTTTAATTCTTACCAGGTTTTTAAAAGTTACATTTGAAATGAATTAACAAGTACTTTCATGTCTCTCCTGCTTGAATTCATGTGCACACACACACACACCCAGCAGGGACTTACACCAAGGTCTGCAGTTTACAATCAGGGTAACTCAAGCCCTCACACAGAAACTTCACCCCTGTATCCCCAATGGGGTTCTTGGCCAAGCACAGGTGTGTCAGCTTCTTGCTGACAACCAAGACAGCAGCAAGGTCCTTGCAACTGGCTTCTGTAAGACGACAGTTTTCCAACCTGCAAAAATATGAAACAAATGGTAGAAGGATGAGAACATTTCCACAACTCCAACCTGCTCAGTGATGTCCACATGCTAGGGTACTCAGCTTCAGCCCTTCCTGTTCATCCCCTGCCCTCTGTCCTGTGGGAGTCATCATGGCCACAAAAGAGCAGGAAGGCGAGAAGGCCAAGATGCAGCGGTCCACCTGGAGCCATCACAGGACACAGGTGTTGTTTTTGAGACGGAGTCTCGCTCTGTCGCCCAGGCTGGAGTGCAGTGGCGCGATCTCGGTTCACTGCCAATCGCCGCCTCCCAGGTTTACACCATTCTGCTGACTCAGCCTCCTGAGTAGCTGGGACTACAGGCGCCCACCACACCTGGATAATTTTTTGTATTTTTTAGTAGAGACGGGGTTTCACCATGTTAGCCAGGATGGTCTCGATCTCTTGACCTCGTGATCTCCCCGCCTTGGCCTCCCAACGTGCTGGGATTACAGGCATGAGCCACCGCACCCGGCCTGTTTTTGGTATTTTTAATAGAAACAGGGTTTCACCATGTTGGCCAGGTTGGTCTCGAACTCCTGAACTCAGATGATCCGCCCACCTCTCTGCTGAGATTACAGGCAGGAGCCACCGTGCCGGGCCTGAAGCAGGTGTTTATTTCAGCAAGAGGCGCCACGTGGGTGGCGCAGTAAGTCAGGTGTTACCCTTTCTCTTCTATAGCCCCAGAACTAAACCAGAGCTGCCCATGGGAAGAGGAGACTTACGACAACATCTGCAGGAAGTGTTTTGGGCGTGTCATGGTCTTGTACAGCAACATGGCACCCTCATCCAGGAGCACATTGGCTGAGAGACGCAGGTGCTTCAGGGACTGGTTGGCTTTGAGGACATAGAAGAATTCAGCCCACTGCTCCGGGGTGGCACAGTGACCTCCCAACCTGTGAAAAGAGTGGGAAAAGTCATTCTTCTGGGAGGACAGAGTATACCCTATCAGCTTTTTTTTTTTGAGACAGAGTTTCACTCTGTTGCCCAGTCTGGAATGCAAAGGCGTGATCTCACCTCACTGCAGCCTCCGCCTCCCGGGTTCAAGCTATTCTCCTGCCTCAGCCTCCGAAGTAGCTGGGATTACAGGCATTCGCCAATTTTTGTATTTTTAGTAGAGACGGGATTTCACCATGTTGGCCACACTGGTCTTGAACTCCTGACCTCAGGTGATCCACCCACCTTGGCCTACCGAAGTACTGGGATTACAGGTGTGAGCCACCGCGCCTGGCCCAGATCAGCTTCTTCTGCTTCACTTCCCAAGACATTATGTCTTTGGTTTATCTCATTCTACTCATGCCTCCAACCCTGGCCTGAATTACTGGAGAGATCTAATGTTGCCTCTGCTTCTTCAAGTATCCCCATGGCCATTAGGGTAACATCCAGCCACTTCTCCAAGAGATTGTAATACAATTCTGTGCAATGTTTCACCAAAACGGCCTGTGTGGATGATTTTGCAGGGGGGAAAAAAAAATTTTTTTTTTGAGACAGGATCTCGCTCTGTTGCCCAGGCTGGAGTGCAGTGGCATGATCACAGGTCACCACAACCTGTCTCCTGGGCTCAAATGATCCTCCCACCTCAGCATCCACTGTAGCTGGGACTAGAAGGGGCAAATTGATGCTTAATACTCAAAATAAAAATTTTATCCTGGCCAGGCGCAGTGGTTCATGCCTGTAATCCTAGCACTTTGGGAGGCCGAGACAGGCGGATCACTTGAGGTCAGGAGTTCGAGACCAGCCTGGCCAACATGGTGAAACCCTGTCTCTATTAAAAATACAAACATTTGCCAGGCGTGGTGGTGCACGCCTGTAACCCCAGCTACTCGGGAAGCTGAGGCAGAACTGCTTGAACCCAGGAGGCGGAGGTTGCAGTGAACGAGATCGCGCCACTGCGCTCCAGCCTGGGTGACAAGAATAAAACTGTCTCAAAGAAAAAAAAAAAAAAAAAAGATTCTCATTGAGTGCAGAGAAGGTTGCATGCTCCTTATGAATACCTAACTCCTGATGATCTGAGATTGATGATCCATTCTCCTCAGGCTCCCAAAGTGCGAGGATCATGCACTCCATAGGATCAGGCACCAACGATTAGCTCCTGTGCCTGATCTGAGATCGAACAGTTTCATCCCAAAACTACCCCCAAACCCGTCTGTGGAAAAAACTGTCTTGTGCAAAACCGGCCCGCGGTGCAGAAAAGGCTGGGGGCCACTGCTCTCAATCCCAACAATTAGGCAAGGTGCAGTCAGGAATAGCATGTCCCTAAAGCTGGAACCCAGCACAGAATTCGGGGTGTTTCTTTGCATGGATAGCTGGTTATGCAACACAGAAGACAAGCTGGTGGGGGAAAGAGGAGAGGCCGACTCCCCCACACAGGCCTGTTTGAGGAATACATTCCCTGTCTGGGACGGCATCTGGAGTGGTTACCCTTTTTCCTAGATCCCCCAGCAACACGGTGCAGTGGACTCCAGGTGCTGGGGAGAGCCGTGACCGTGAGACCCACCTCAGGTACTGCAGGTTGCATTTATGATTTCTGAGCAGGTCACACAGCATCAGCATCATCGTGCGTTCCCACTCGATGTGCCCTGCCAGGGTCAGGTGCGTGAGGGTCTTCTTCCCAATGAAAGCAAGACAGAAGTCCCGGTACGCGGTGTCAGGGGTGACGTTTTTAATCCTAGGGAAAAGCAGAAGAGATTCCACTTGGAGTGATTAATACTCACATTGTGTGGAGGCATGTATAAACAAAAAGCTGTTTCACATTTAGAAATTATTAGAAGTTCTTGGCCGGGTGCAGTGGCTCGTGTCTGTAACCCCAGCACTTTGGGAGGCTGAGGCAGGAGGATAACCTGAGGTCAGGAGTCTGAGACCAACCTGGGCAACATGGTGAAACTCCATCTCTACAAAAAATAAATTAGCTGGGGCCGAGGCAGGCAGATCGCCTGAGGTCAGGAGTTCGAGACCAGCCTGGCCAACATGGGGAAGCCCCGTCTCTACTAAAAATACAAAAATTAGCTGCACATGGAGGGGCATGCTTGTAGTCCCAGGTATTCGGGAGGCTGAGGTAGGAGAATCACTTGAATCCAGGAGGCAGAGGTTGCAGTGAGCCGAGACCGCACCACTGCACTCCAGCCTGGGCAACAGAGCAAGACTCCATCTCAAAAGAAAAAAAAATTCGCCGGGTGTGGTGGCTCACGCCTGTAATCCCAGCACTTTGGGAGGCCGAGGCCGAGGCGGGTGGATCACGAGGTCAGGAGATCAAGACCATCCTGGCTAACACGGTGAAACCCCGTCTTTACTAAAATTACAAAAAACTAGCCGGGCGTGGTGGCGGGCGCCTGTAGTCCCAGCTACTCGGGAGGCTGAGGCAGGAGAATGGCATGAACCCGGGAGGCAGGGCTTGCAGTGAGCCGAGATTGCTGCACTGCACTCCAGCCTGGGGAACATAGCGAGACTGTCTCAAAAAAAAAAAAAAAAGTCAAGAAGCAGAGGATCAGGAAAAACAACTAAGGGGTACTAGGCTTAATACTTGGGTGACAAAATAATCTGTACAACAAACTCCTATGACACACGGTTACCTGTGTAACTAACCTGTACTTGTACCTACTTTTTGGTTTGTTTTGGTAACAAAACAAACCAAAAAAAAGATAGCTGGGGCCAGGCATGGTGGCTCATGCCTGTAATCCCAGCACTTTCGAAGACCGAGGCAGGCGCATCACCTTAGGTCAGGAGTTCGAGACAAGCCTGGCCAAGATGGAGAAAATTCCACCTCTACTAAAAACACAAGATTAAGTCATTGCACTCCAGCGCCTAGGTGACAGAGTGAAACTCTGTCTCAGAAAAAATAAAAAATAAAAAAGGGGCCAGGTGCAGCGGCTCATGCCTATAATCCCAGCACTTTGGAAGGCCGAGGCAGGCAAATCACCTGAGGTCAGGAGCTCGAGATCAGCCTGGGCAACACGGTGAAAACCTGTCTGTGCTAAAAGTACAAAATTAGCCGGGCAAGGTGGCACATGCCTGTAATCCCAGCTACTCGGGAGGCTGAGGCAGGAGAATTGCTTGAACCTGGGAGGTGGAGGATGCAGTGAGCTGAGATCGCGCCATTGCACTCCAGCCTGGGCAACAAGAGTAAATCTCCGTCTCACCAAAAAAAAAAAAAAAAAAAAAGACAGCTGGAAAATCCCCAAATACATGGAGATGAAACAGCACATTTCCAAATTTAAAAAACAAAAGTACAAGAAGCTTAGTCATCGTTCAGGGTCTTCCTTGCAAGATGAGCTTCTACTTACTCCACTTTCTGCAGATGACAGGTGCTACGGGTTACGTGGTCACAAAGAATCCGCACAGAAGAGTCACTCAGGAAGCTTTGTTTCACTTCCAGAAACTTGAGGTTGCTGTTTGAGCTGAAGAGAGAGCAGAAATCTGTCCAGAGGCGAAGAGAGCGAAGATCCTGCCGAGCCCAGTTCGGAATGGTTAGGTAAGTGCACCTGCAGGAGAACACACGTTCATCTCTTAGGACTAGTACCTGCATGGTGAGATGGGCATCTGCAAACCACATTTCAATGGCAAAAACCACAATTACTTTTGCACCAACCTAAAACAGTGTCTATAGTAAACAATATTGCATCACATGCTTTGCTACCAGTATAGATCTTAAGTTTTACAAAAAAAATAAAATAATAGATAAGGCTGAGTGAGGTGGCTCATGCCTGTAATCCCAACACTTTGCTAGGCCAAAGTGGGAAGATCACTTGAGCCCAGGAGTTTAAGACCAACTTGGGCTAGAAACTGAGACCCCCATCTCTACAAAAAAATAAAATAATTAACCGGGCAAGGTGGTGCACGCCCATAGTCCCAGCTACTCGGGAGGCTGAGGCAGGAGAATCACTTGAACCCGGGAGGCGGAGGTTGCAGTGAGCCAAGATCGCGCCACTGCACTCCAGCCTGGGGGACAGAGCGAGACTCCGTCTCAAAAATAAAAAGCCCCAATTCCTAATTGCCAAGTCGTGTCTCCACGTTGAACATGAAGCTGGAAAGAAGTCCAGCCAGAGGGAAATTCTGACAGTAAGCGACAGGGCAAAGGAGACGCTGGCCTCTTCCTAGTGGAGCGTGGGATGGGAAAACAGTTCTTACCTTTCAAATTCAATGTCCAGTTCAAAATCCATGTAATTCTCCAGGAACACCCCCTTTGCTACCTGCAGTGAGAGTTTCTGCAAGTCTTGACAATGCTTCAGGCTGAAGGAACAATGCATCACTTCAGAAGTATTTGTCAGGTGAATAGAAATTTCCTTGAACGGGGCCACCACCACCTTCGCCAGCTCCTCCTCCTGAGACTCATACAGGCAGCCCAAGACCTCCTTCAGGTCGGTCACGGATAAGGGCTTATTTGCATGAAGATGTGCTTTGCATTGCAGCAATTCCTGTTTGATGTCCGGTGACATCCGGCAGCCAAAAGTGGCCTCCAACTCCTTGGCTCTCTTCTCGTTAGCGAGGCCGAATAAGAAGTGTCCTACTTGAATCAGGTCGGGGTTCTTGAGTCTTTCTTCTCCGGAAAGCAGCTTCTGTACGTCCCCGATGTCCCAGGCGTGGCCGTCCCTGTCCTCCCCCTCCTCCTTCTCCAGGGCGTAGAACAGGGCAGTGAGAAACTGCTGGAAGCTGAGGTGGATGAAGGAGTAGCAGCCTTTGGAGACTCTGTCCTGGCGGAGGATGTCTCCGTCCAGGAACAGACGGAGGTCGGACTCCTGCACCCCGAGCCTTTCCAGGTCCTCTCGGTGGAACACGGACATCTGCGCCCACAGGCCCTGCGCGGCCAGGAGGCTCAGCGTCCGCAGCGCGCCCCGCAGCTGTGCGCCCTGCGGGAACCGGCTGCAGAGGAAACGCAGGAACAGCCCCGTGCGGGTGAGGCAGGTGGGGACCGGGTCCTCCCCCTTCTCCATCTGCAGCTTCAGAGTCGTGCACACAATCCAGCACACCGCGGGGGCCGAGCCCAGCTGGAACAGGGCCGCGTTGCTCCTCATTAGCTCAAAGGCACGCATGGCTTGGTCCTCGTCTCCAAAGTGTCTCAGGAAATAGGCCCTCCTGTCCTCCTCCAGGAAGCCCTCCACCCTTACGTAGATCGGCTGCTGCGCCAGGAGCTGGAGGTCCCTCAGTGCCCTGGGCCGCGTGGTGACCAGCAAGGCTGCCCTGGGTAACATCTTCCTCTTCAGCAAACTCCCCAGGAGGACGGGCACCGGCTTCTTCTTCTCCCAGTCCCCGCAGATGTCCTGGATCAGCGCCCCAGGTGGGACTTTCAGCTCATCAAGGCCATCGACCACGAACAGGATTCTCTGTGCTTGGGCTAGGATGCTTGGAATGTCATCCTGCAATTCAGGCCAGTCTTTGGAGATCAGCTCTGCAAAACTGCAGGGGCCCATGCGGCTGAGCTCCTTGCAGCTGAGGTAGAACGCGTATCTGAGCGTCGGGCTGAGGTTGCAGTCTGTCCAGTCCAGCATACACTTTTTGGCCAGCGTGGTTTTCCCCACGCCTGCGGGGCCGTGCAGCACCACCGTGTAAGGTGTTAGCTTCCTGGGTGTTCTGGGATTCAAGAATGGAATGAACCGTTGGTTTCTCAGAGTGACGTCGTCATGGAAATTGTCAATGTCTCCTTGCCAAAAGGTGTTCTTCCAGACCAAAGACTGTTTCTCCATTGAATTTCTCCATCCTTCCTTTTCACCTGCAGTGACAGCCCATAGGACAGTTGAGGTTGATGATGATGATTTTCTGAATTATTTTGTCAAGTACCAGAAATGAGGGCCAGGCACGGTGTCTCATGCTTGTAATCCCGGCACTTTGGGAGGCCAAGGTGGGTGGATCACTTGAGGTCAGGAGTTCAAGACCAGCCTGGCCAAGATAGTGAAACCCCATCTCTACTAAAAATACAAAACATTAGCTGGGGGTAGTGGCGGCCGCCTGTAATCCCGGCTACTCAGGAGGCTGAGGCAGAGAATTGCTTGAACCCGGGAGGCAGAGGTTGCAATGAGCAGAGACGGAGCCACTACACTCCAGCCTGGGCTACAGAGCAAGATTCCGTCTCAAAAAAAAAAAAAACTACCAGAAATGAATAAAACCAGGAAGAAGTGATGCACCTTGCATGCTCTCAAACACCAAACTCATGACCATAGGACCGTATTTACCCACCTGGCTTTGCTAACTCCGAGTCTTCTTCTGCATCTCCCAGCTCAGGATTATCTATTTCTTGCACCTGTCCGTCCTCTGTAAAATACTTAGATGTAAGCCTGACACAGTAATTTACACTTCGTAAATCAGACATTATTGTACATAAAGTGTCAGCCAGGCATGGTGGCTCATGCCTGTAATCACAGCACTTTGGAAGGCTGAGGTGGGCGGATCACAAGGTCAGGAGATCAAGACCAGCCTGGCCAACATGGCAAAACCCCATCTCTACTAAAAATACAAAAAAAAAAAAATTAGCCAGGTGTGGTGAAACACGCCTGTAATCCCAGCTACTCCGGAGGCTGAGATAGGAGAATCACTTGAACCCAGAGGCGGAGGTTGCAGTGAGCCCAGATCTCGCCACTGCACTCCAGCCTTACACTCCAGCCTGGGCGACAGAACGAGACTCCATCTCAAAAAAAAAAAAAAAAAAAAAAAAATGACCAGGACACCCCAGGTTCTACTTACCCATCATCTCAGCCTTTGCCATCTTACACAATTCCGTGAGATTCATCTCTTCCAAGATGTTCACAGTCGCATTCCTTATCCAATTTTCTGAGGAGGTGTTGACCAGAATTTCTGCCAGTTTCTTGCCATCAGCCTCTTCCACCTCAGACCATGGGGTCTTCTGTAGCACGTCTTCGAGGGGAAAAGCCCATAAAAGGGATTTGAAACTCTTTAATTCATCCTCGTTCAGCTGCTCCAGAAGGGTCTGCAGAGTCCACTCTAGCTGGGGCGATGTCATAGTGCTCCGAGTATGAGACCTTAGGTTAAGGCTGAAGAACTGGGGGGAAAAAAGGAAAAACAGTTCACGAGTTACCATCATTAAATGAAACCACAGTTTCCTGTGTGCCAAGAACAAGACTGTTCCTGCTGTACAGTGAGTGGTAAAATATTCCAAAGACTGAATTAAGAGACTGAAAATCTGGCCCAGCACGGTGGCTCACGCCTGCGGCCAGGAGTTCGAGACCAGCCTGGCTAACTTGGTAAAAAGAACGAACAAAAGGCTGGGCACGGTGGCTCACGCCTGTAATCCCAGCACTTTGGGAGGCCGAGGCGGATGGATCACGATATCAGGAGATCGAGACCATCCTGGCTAACACAGTGAAACCCCTGCCTCTACTAAAAAAATACAAAAAATTAGCAGGGCGTGGTGGCGGGCACCTGTAGTCCCAGCTACTCGGGAGGCTGAGGCAGGAGAATGGTGTGAACCCGGGAAGTGGAGCTTGCAGTGAGCAGAGATCTCACCATTGCACTCCAGCCTGGGCGACAGAGCGAGACTCCGTCTCAAAAAAAAAAAAAAAAAAAAAAAAAAGAATACAAAGAATGAAGGGTCAGTGGTATGCTAGGGCCAGCCCGTGCTGCCTAATGGGGGCTTCCTATATGTACCTATACCAACGTCCATGGGCTGTGATTTCACACTGATAGTACAAAATCACAAGGGGAGTGTTTATGCCACAGAAATCAGCAAACACGGCAGGGCGCGGTGGCTCACGCCTGTAATCCCAGCACTTTGGGAGGCCAAGGCGGGTGGATAACCTGAGGTCGGGAGCTCAAGACCAGCCTGACCAACACGGCGAAACCCCATCTCTACTAAAAATACAGAAATTACAGGCGGGTGCCTGTAATCCCAGCTACTCAGGAGGCCGAGACAGGAGAATCACACTTGAACCTGGGAGGTGGAGGTTGCATGATCTGAGATCACGCCATTGCACTCGAGCCTCGGCAACAAGAACAAGACTCTGTCTCAAACAAACAAAAAAACAAATCAGCAAACACTACAAACCAAGACTTCCTCGCCACCAACCCTCAGAGCCACTTGTTTAACATTTCAGCCCACCACTGAATGACACATTGAAAACAAATAGCAAGAGGACAGATATAAATATAACTGTACTGGCCGGGTATGGTGGCTCAGGCCTGGAATCCCAGCACTTTGGGAGGCTGAGGCAGGTGGATCGCCTGATGTCAGGAGTTTGAGACCCGCCTGGCCCACATGGTGAAACCCCATCTCTACTAAAAATACAAAAGCTAGCCAAGTGTAGTGGTAGGAACCTGTAATCCCAGGTACGTGGGAGGCTGAGGCAGGAGAATCGCTTGAACCCAGGAGGCGGAGGTTGCAGTGAGCTGAGATAGCGCCATTGTACTCCAGCCTGGGCAACAAGAGCGAAACTCTATCTCAAAAAAAAAAAACTTAGCCAGGCCTGGTGGAACATACCCGTAGTCCCAGATACTTGGGAGGCTGACACAGGAGGATTGTTTGAGCCTACGATTTGGAGGTTGCAGTGAGCCAGCCACTGCACGCCAGCCTGGGTGACAGAGTGAGGCCCTGTCTCAAAAGTAAGTAACTAATGGCCGGGTGCGGTGGCTCACGCCTGTAATCCCAGCACTTTGGGAGGCCGAGGCAGGCGGATCACGAGGTCAGGAGATCGAGACCATCCTGGCTAACACGGTGAAACCCCGTCTCTACTAAAAATACAAACAATTAGCCGGGCGTGGTGGCGGGCGCCTGTAGTCCCAGCTACTCGGGAGGCTGAGGCAGGAGAATGGCGGGAACCCGGGAGGCGGAGCTTGCAGTGAGCGGAGATCGCGCCACCGCACTCCAGCCTGGGCGACAGAGCGAGACTCCGTCTGGGTTGGGGGGGCGGGGGGAAGAGGCAGCCTGGAAAATAAATAACAGAAAAAGTGACTTGCCAAGCCCGGGTGCTGATAGAGGTGGACAGCTTTACCCTTGGAGGGAACAGCAAATCTTTTTCCCCAGCTGTGACGTGTGGGGAAAAGGAGGACAGATCAGACTGTTACTGTGTCTATGTAGAAAGAAATAGACATAAGAGACTCCATTTTGTTCTGTACTAAGAAAAATTCTTCTGCCTTGAGATGCTGTTAACCTGTAACCCTAGCCCCAACCCTGTGCTCCCAGAAACATGTGCTGTGTCACACGTGGGTTTAGGGCTATGCAGGATGTGCTTTGTTAAACAGATGCTTGAAGGCAGCATGCTTGTTAAAAGTCATCACCACTCTCTAATCTCAAGCACCCAGGGACACAATACACTGCGGAAGGCTGCAGGGACCTCTGCCTAGAAAAGCCAGGTATTGTCCAAAGTTTCTCCCCATGTGATAGCCTGAGATAAGGCCTCGTGGGAAGGGAAAGACCAGACCGTACCCCAGCCCGACACCCGTAAAGGGTCTGTGCTGAAGAGGATTAGTATAAGAGGAAGGCCTTTTTGCAGTTAAGAGGAAGGTATCTGTCTCCTGCTCGTCCCTGGGCAATGGAATGTCTCGGTGTAAAACCCGATGGTATGTTCCATCCACCGAGATAGGGGAAAACCGCCTTAGGGCTGGAGGTGACACATGCTGGCAGCAATACTGCTCTTTAATGCACCAGATATGTTTATGTATGAGCACATCAAGGCACAGCACATTTCCTAACCTTGTTTATGACACAGACATTTGCTCACATGTTTTCCTGCTGACCCTCTCCCCACTGTTACCCTATTGTCCTGCCACATCCCCGTCTCCGAGATGGTAGAGATAATGACCAATAAATACTGAAGGAACTCAGAGACCCGGCCGGCGCGGGTCTCCTGAGCCCACTTTTCTTTCTGTGTACTTTGTCTCTGTGTCTCTTTCTTTTCTCAGTCTCTCGTCCCACCTGACAAGAAACACCCACAGGTGTGGAGGGGCAGGCCACCCCTTCAGTGAGGTATAATTACATATATCCTATTTTAGGATGGAGCAGGAAGAGCATGAGAGCCCAGGAGTTCCAGACCAGCCTGGGCGACACAAGGAGACCTTGTCTCTATTTTTTAAGTATTTTTAAAGTAATATATACAACGTTTACTTGTCAAAGTGTACAGCATGGAGCGATGTTATATATACAGTGAAATGATTACCACAATCCAGCTAATTAACATATCCACTGCTTCATATAGTTGCCTTTCGTTTTTGCAGTGACAACGCTTGATGTACTTAGAAAAATTCAGGGTTTTTTGGCCAGGCACGGTGGCTCACGCCTGTAATCCCAGCACTATGGGAGGCCGAGGCGGGCAGATCACAAGGTGAGGAGCTCAAGACCATCCTGGCTAACACGGTGAAACCCCGTCTCTACTAAAAATACAAAAAAAAAATTAGCCGGGCATGGTGGCGGGCGCCTGTAGTCCCAGCTACTTGGGAGGCTGAGGCAGGAGAATGGCTTGAACCTGGGAGGCGGAGCTTGCAGTGAGCCAAGATCGCGCCACTGCACTCCAGCCTGGGCGAGTGAGACTCCCTCTCAAAAAAAAAAAAAAAAAGAAAAGAAAAGAAAAATTCAGGGTTTTTTTTTTCTTTTTCAGAAAGTCTTGCTCTGTCGCCCAGGCTGGAGTGCAATGGTGCGAGGCTTACCACAACCTCCTCTTCCCGGGTTCAAGCGATTCTCCTGCCTCGGCCTCCCAAGTAGCTGGGATTACAGGTATGCCCCACCACACCTAATTTTTTTTGTATTTTTAGTACAAACGGGGTTTCACCATGTTGGCCAGGCTGGTCTTGAACTCCTGACCTCAGGTGATCTGCCCACCTCAGCCTCCCAAAGTGCTGGGATTACAGGTATGAGCCACCAGGCCTGGCCAAGTATTTTTTTTCCCAAGTACATTTTTTTCTTTTTTTCTTTTTTTTGAGATGGAGTCTCCCTCTGTTGCCCAGGCTGGAGTGCAGTGGCACAATCTCGACTCACTGCAACCTCCACCTCCCAGGTTCAAGTGATTCTAGTGCCTCAGCCTCTCAAGAAGCTGGGATTACAGGCGCACCGCATCACGCCGGGCTAGTTTTTGTATTTTTAGTAGAGACAGGGTTTCTTGTTTTTTTCTGAGATGGAGTCTTGCTCTGTCACCCAGGCTGGAGTGCAGTGGCGCGATCTGGGCTCACTGCAAGCTCCGCCTCCCAGGTTCACGCCATTCTCCTGCCTCAGCCTCCCAAGTAGCTGGGACTACAGGCGCCCGCCACTATGCCCAGCTAATTTTTTTTGTATTTTTAGTAGAGATGGGGTTTCACCGTGTTAGCCAGGATGGTCTCGATCTTCTGACCTCGTGATCCGCCCGCCTCGGCCTCCCATAGTGCTGGGATTACAGGCGTGAGCCACCGCGCCCGGCCGAGACAGGGTTTCTCTATGTTGGCCAGGCTGGCCTCGAACTCCTGACCTCAGCTGATCCACCCGCCTCGGCCTCCCAAAGTGCTGGGATCACAGGCGTGAGCCACCGCATCTGGCCATTTACATTTTTTTTTTTTTTTGATGCAGCATTTCACTCTGGTTGCCCAGGCTGGAGTGCAGTGGCGCAATCTCAGCTCACCGCAACCTCCGCCTCCCGGGTTCAAGTGATTCTCCTGCCTCAGCCTCCCGAGTAGCTGGGATTACAGGCATGTGCCACCACGCCCAGCTAATTTTGTATTTTTAGTAGAGATGGGGTTTCTCCATGTTGGTCAGGCTGGTCTCAAACTCCCGGCCTCAGGTGATCTGAAAGTGCTGGGATTACAGGCGTGAGCCACCGCGCCCAGCCTACTTTTTTTTTTTTTTAAACAGGGTCTTCATCTCATCCAGGCTGGAGTGCAGTGGCTCAATCACACCTCATTGCAGCCCCCACCTCCTGGCTCAGGTGATCCTCCCACCTCACCCCACAAGTAGCTTGGACACAGCACAAGGTCTGGCCTTCTTTGTTTTTTGAGACGGAGTCGCACTCTGTCTCCCAGGCTGGAGTGCAGTGGCGCGATCTCAGCTCATTGCAACCTCCCCCTCCTAGGTTTAAGCTATTCTCCTGCCTCAACCTTCCAAGTAACTGGGATTACAGGCATGCACCACCACACCTGGCTAATTTTTGTGTTTTTAGTAGAGACAGGGTTTCACCATTTTGGGCAGGCTGGTCTCAAACTTCTGGCCTCAAGTGATCCACCCGCCTCGGCCTCCCAAAGTGTTGGGATAACAGGCATGAACCACTGTGCCTGGCCTTATATTTTTTTGTAATGACAGAGTTTTACCATGTTGCCCAGGCTAGTCTCAATCTCCTGAACTCCTCTAAACTATATTTGAATAGAAGTCCTTAAGACATTAGGCCAGGCGTGGTGGCTCACACCTGGAATCCCAGCACTTTGGGAGGCCGAGGCAGACAGATTACCTAAAGTCAGGAGTTCAAGACCAGCCTGGCCAACATGGTGAGACCCCGTCTCTACTAAAAATACAAAAATTAGCTGGGCATGGTGGCACGTGCCTGTAGTCCCAGCTACTCAGGAGGCTGAGGCAGGAGAATGGCGGGTGAACCCAGGAGGCGGAGTTTGCAGCGAACCAAGATCACGCCACTGCACTCCAGCCTGGGCGACAGAGGGAGACTCCGTCTCAAAAAAAAAAAAATCAAAGATCCTTCCAGCATCCTCGCACCAACCATTAAGGCTTGGGAAGGGCTATGGTGGAAACTCAACCAATAGCTTCTTCTCCCTTAAACGAGAAGACAAAGAAATCGATGCAAGAACCAGCACTCACCTCCCTCAGGTCAGGTCTTGCTTCCAGCCTGTGTTTCCTGCAAAGGAAACGGATAAAAAGGGGAGGTCTCTGGCCCTTGGTACGCTAGGTGGAGAGACAGCTTTCCCGCCCAGGGTGGAACCGCCCCACTGAGATTAACATTGGGTGGCTCCCAACCACTGACCTCAGGCTCACCTTGACATCACCTGGGCCCCATCCTCAGGGATTTGGCTGTAATTGGGCTTCAGTGGGCTTTGGAGAATTACGGCTTGCTGAATCTCCCCAGGTGAGATTAATGTGCAATTCCCTTCCTAGACCACCCGGGCCAGGTGTGATAGGCGACAGAACAGGAAATACACATTTTGGGTTTTGCAGGGTACCTGGCTCCCAGCTTTAAAAACTCTTGTAGAGAAAAAAAATTAAACAAAAATAAATAAAAATTAAAAAAAAAGAGGACAAAAACTCCCGTGACTTCCTAAGTTACAAATACAATAAGTCTACTTTGTGGCCAACTGTGGTGCCTCCTGCCTATAAATCCCAGCAGGCTGAGAGGCCTAGGCCAGTGGATCCCTAGGGGCCAGGAGTTTGATACCAGCCTAGGCAACATAGCAAGATGCCATCTCTTCAAAAATATTTAATAATTAGCCATGCATAGGCTGGGCGTGGTAGCTCATGCCTGTAGTCCCAGCAATTTGGGAAGCCGAGGCGGGTGGATCACCTGAGGTCAGGAGTTGGAGACCAGACTGGCCAACGTGGTGAAACTCTGTCTCTACTAAACATACAAAAAATTAGCCAGGTGTGGTGGCAGGTGCCTGTAATCCCAGCTACTCGGGAGGCTGAGACAGGACAATCACTTGAACTAGGGAGGTGGAGGGTGAGTGAGGCACGATCACGCCATTGCACTCCAGCCTGGGTGACAAGAGCAAGACTGTCTCAAAAACAAAAACAAAAAAATTAGCCATACATGATGGGCTGCACCTGTAATCCCAGCTATTCAGGAGGCTGAGGTGGGAGGATCACCTGAGCTCAGGAGTTTGAGGCTGCAGTGAGCTGTGACTGGCCATCTCACTCCAGCCTAGGCCACAGAGTGAGACCCAGTCTCAAAAAAATAAATAGATAACTGATATTTAATTTTTTTTTTTGGATGGAGTCTTGCTCTGTGGCCCAGGCTGGAGTGCAGTGGTGCAATCTCCATTCTTGCAACCTCTGCCTTCCAGGTTCAAGCAATTCTGATGCCTCAGCTTCCCAAGTAGCTGGGACTGCAGGCACATGCCACCATGCCCAACTAATTTTTTGTATTTTTAGTAGAGACAGGGTTTCACCATATTGGTCAGGCTGGTCTCAAACTCCTGATGTCAGGTGATTACAGGCATGAGCCACCGCACCTGGCCTAAAATTGTTTTTAAATAAAACAGTGTATGTTGTGGAAAGCATTCAGCACAGAATTTTGGTAGTTTAAACTGTTAATTTAATGGAAGCAAATGGTCCCACAAATGAAGATGTATATATCAGTTGCAGCATGCCATCTATAGAAATAGGCACTATGGAGGCCTGGCATGGTGGCTCACACCTGTAATCCCTGCACTTTGGAAGGCTGAGGCAGGTGGATCATCTGAGGTCAGCAGTTCGAGACCAACCTGGGCAACATGGCAAAAAACCCCTGGCTACTAAAAATAAAGAATTAGCCAGGCATGGTGGTGTGCACCTGTAATCCCAGCTACTCAGGAGGCTGAGGCGTAAGAATTGATTGAACCTGGGAGTTGGAGGTTGCCGTGAGCCGAGATTGCACCACTGCGCTCCAGCCTGGGCGACAGAGACTCCATCTTTAAAAAAAAAAAAAAAAGATGGCCAGGCGCAGTGGTTCATGAATGTAATCCCAGCACTTTGGGAGGCTGAGGCGGGAGGACTGCCTGAGTCCAGGAGTTCAAGACCAGCCTGGGCAATATGGCGAGACTCCCTCTCTGAAGAAAAAGAAAATAAAAACAATAAAAATAAATTATATTCTAGCTGACAAAAAGAGAGAGAGAGTATATTTTGTTAAAACATTTGGCCTTTAGTCCTAGAGCAGCTATGGAGAGATAAACATGAAAGAGGTATCTCTTGTTATACATACCCAGGCCCTGCAACCACACCTGAGTTTATGTAAATGAGGTGACTTTTGGAAAGCCCCTAGATAACCCCACAAGTGCGAGGGACTGGCTGCCAAAGAAACCGTCAGTGATTAGACATTGGGAACTTTCAGCCCCAGGCTCCAAGTGGCCTCCAGGGAGGGGAGAGGGGCTGAAGGTTGAATTGATTATGAACTGCCAGCTATGTGATCAGCATTGCCCACCTAAGGAATCCTCCATAAACCCCAAAAGAAAAGGGTTTGGGCCGGGTGTCCTGTGGCTCATGCCCGTAATCCCAACGCTTTGGGAGGCCTAGATGGGAGGATTGCTTGAGCCCAAGAATTCTAGGCCAGTCTGGACAAAATAGCAAGACCCTGGCTCTACAAAAAATAAAAAATTAGCCAGGCGTGGTGGAGTGCACCTGTAGACCCAGCTACTCAGGAGGCTGAGGCATGAGAATCACTTGAACGCAGGAGACAGAGGCTGCAGTGAGCTGAGATAGCGCCACTGCACTCCAGCCTGGGTGACGGAGTTAGACTGTCTCAAAAAAAAAAAAAACCAGGAAAGAGTTCAGAAGAGCTTCCTGGTTGGTGAACCCGGGTGCATTCGTGTGCCAGGACTGTGGTGCACCCCAGGTCCACAGGGACAGAAGCTCCTGCACTTCGGACTCCTCTAAACCTCCCCCTACGCATCTCTTCCTTGGCTGTTCATTTGTATCCTTTAAAATATGAAAGGGCGGGTTGCCCCTCCACACCTGTGGGCATTTCTCGTTAGGTGGAAGGAGAGACTTGGAAAAGAAAGAGACACAGACAAAGTATAGAGAAAGAAATAAGGGGACCCAGGGGACCAGCATTCAGCATATGGAGGATCCCGCCAGCTTCTGAGTTCCCTTAGTATTTATTGATCATTTTGGGGTGTTTCTCAGAGAGGGGGATGTGGCAGGGTCATAGGATAATAGTGGAGGGAAGGTCAGCAGATAAACACGTTAACAAAGGTCTCTGCATCATAGACAAGGTAAAGAACTAAGTGCTGTGCTTTAGATATGCATACACATAAACATCTCAATGCCTTACGGAGCAGTATTGCTGCCCGCATGTCCCACCTCCAGCCCTAAGGCGGTTTTCCCCTATCTCAGTATATGGAATATACAATCGGGGTTTACACCCATACATTCCATTGCCCAGGGACGAGCAGGAGACAGATGCCTTCCTCTTGTCTCAACTGCAAAGAGGTGTTCCTTCCTCTTTTACTAATCCGCCTCAGCACAGACCCTTTACTGGTGTCGGGCTGAGGGACGGTCAGGTCTTTCCCTTCCCATGAGACCATATTTCAGGCTATCACATGGGGAGAAACCCTGGACAATACCTGGCTTTCCTAGGCAGAGGTCCCTGCGGCCTTCCGCAGTGTTTGTGTCCCTGGGTACTTGAGATTAGGGAGTGGTGATGACTCTTAAGGAGCATGCTGCCTTCAAGCATTTGTTTAACAAAGCACATCTTGCACAGCCCTTAATCCATTTAACCCTGAGTGGACACAGCACATGTTTCAGAGAGCACAGGGTTGGGGGTAAGGTCATAGATTAACAGCATCTCAAGGCAGAAGAATTTGTCTTAGTACAGAACAAAATGAAGTCTCCTGTGTCTACTTCTTTCTACACAGACACAGTTACAATCTGATCTCTCTTTCTTTTCCCCACAAAAATATCCTTTGTAGACCAGGCACAGTGGCTCAGGCCTGTAATCCCAGCACTTTGGGAGGCTGAGGCAGATGGATCACTTAAGGTCAGGAGTTTGAGACCAGCCCAGCCAGCATGGTGAAACTGCGTCTCTACAAAAATACAAAAATTAGCGGGGCATGGTAGTTCAACGCCTGTAATCCCAGCTACTCGAGAGGCTGAGGCAGAATTGTTTGAACCCGGGAGGCAGAGGCAGAGGTTGCAGTGAGCCGAGGTCGCACGACTGCACTCCAGCCTGGGTGCAACAGAGTGAGACTCCATCTCAAAAAACAAAAAACAAAAACAAAAACAAAACAAAAAATGAAAACCCACTTTTAGTAAAAAAAATAAAAATGAAAAAATGTGAATCAGGCTGCACTCTGGCCCACATCCTGGCTGCTGTGTATCACGTGGCTCTAGACACTGCACTTTTGCCTCCTCATCATTGCTGTAGATAGGATTTCTGACAGCAGGGTCATTAGACGAATTTTTTTTTTTTTTTGAGACGGAGTCTCGCTCTGTCGCCCAGGCTGGAGGGCAGTGGCGCAATCTCTGCTCACTGCAAGCTCCGCCTCCCGGGTTCACACAATTCTCCTGCCTCAGCCTCCCGAATAGCTGGGACTACAGGTGCCTGCAACCATGCCTGGCTAATTTTTTTTGTATTTTTAGTAGAGACGCGGTTTCACCATGTTAGCCAGGATGGTCTCGATCTCCTGACCTCGTGATCCTCCCGCCTAGGCCTCCCAAAGTGCTGGGATTACAGGCGTGAGCCACCGCGCCCGGCCCCATTAGACAAATTTGTATCTGCACGGTTCCTACAGATAAACTCTGGGACATTAGAATTATAAGGCTTTTGTTTAAGGATGGTTTCAGATGTTTTTCAGACCTTGAATTCCAGCCAAATAGCTGACACTAACCAGTTTGAAGACCCCAGTGAGGAATGGGATCAGCATGAGAACACTGCGTCTTCATGCCCCTGTCTCCGCCAGCAGTCAGCATGGCCACACTCTGGCCCACACCAAAACACTTAAAAACCCTAGCCCCGGCCGGGTGCAGAGGCTCACACCTGTAACTCCAGCACTTTGGGAGGCCAAGGCAGGTGAATCACCTGAGGTCAAGAGTTCAAGACCAGCCTGGCCAACATAGTGAAACCCCGTTTCTACTAAAAACACAAAAAATTAGTCGGGCGTGGTAGCGGGTGCCTGTAACCCCAGCTACTCAGGAGGCTGAGGCAAGAGAATTACTTGAACCTGGGAGGCGGAGGTTGCAGTGAGCAAAGATCCTGCCACTGCACTCCAGCCTGGGTGACAAAGCAAAACTCCATCTCAAAAAAAAAAAAAACCCTAGACCCAAACTTCTGGGGGAGATGGATTGGAGGTTTCCTCCCATCTCCTCATTCCTCAGCCCTGTGATTAAACTTCCTTCTCTTCTGCAACACAGTGACCCGGCAAATTGACTCACAGCGTGCATTGGGCAACGGACCTACTGTCAGAGGCGTGTAACCAGGGCAACTCCATCTTGAATAGGAGCTGACTAAAATAAGGCTGAGACCTACCGGGCTGCATTCCCAGACAGTTAAGGCATTCTCCAAAAAAAACAAAAATGACAGGCACGGTGGCCCAGCACTTTGGGAGGCCGAGGCGGGTGGATTACCCGAAGTAGAGTTTGAGACCAGCCTGGCCAACACGGTGAAACCCCGTCTCTACTGAAAATACAAAAATTAGTCAGGCGTGGTGGCTCGTGCCTGTAATCCCACCTACTTGCGAGGCTGAGGCAGGAGAATCGCTTGAGCCGGGGAGGCGGAGGTTGCAGTAAAAAGAAAAAAAAAAGCATTCTAAGTCACAGGATGAGATAAGTCAGCACAAGATACAGGTCATAAGGACCTTGCTGATAACACAGGTAGCAATGTAGCAGGACCAGCCACAGACAAAACTCCTCAGACACCGAGTTAAAGAAGAAAGGGGTTTATCCGGCCAGGGGCATCGGCAAGACTCCCGTCTCAAGAGCCGAGATCCCCAAGTGAGCAATTCCTGTCCCTTTTAAGGGCTCACAACTCTAAGGGGGTGTGCGTGAGAGGGTCGTGATCGACTGAGCAAGCAGGGGGTACGTGACTGGGGGCTGCATGCACTGGTAATCAGATCCAAACAAAACAGGATAGGGATTTTCACAGTGCTTTTCTATACAATGTCTGTAATCTATAGATAACCGATTAGGTCAGGGGTCAATCTTTAACTACCAGGCCCAGGGTGTGGCGCCGGGCTGTCTGCTTGTGGATTTCATTCCTGGGCCGCGGGGCTGTCTGCTTGTGGATTTCATTCCTGGGGCGCGGGGCTGTCTGCTTGTGGATTTCATTTCTGCCTTTTAGTTTTTACTTTTTCTTTCTTTGGAGGTGGAAATTGGGCATAAGACAATATGAGGGGTGGTCTCCTCCCTTAGCAATAAAGAATCCAGCCAGGCCGGGCGCGGTGGCTCACACCTGTAATCCCAGCACTTTCGGGGGCTGAGGCGGGTGGATCACACGGTCAGGAGATTGAGACCATCCTGGCTAACACGGTGAAACCATCTCTACTAAAAAAAAAAAATACAAAAAATTAGCTGGGCGTGGTGGCGGGCGCCTGTAGTCCCAGCTACTCGGGAGGCTGAGGCAGGAGAACGGCGTGAACCCGGGTGATGGAGCTTGCAGTGAGCGGAGATCGCGCCACTGCACTCCAGCCTGGGTGACAGAGCGAGACTCCGTCTCAAAAAAATAAAAAATAAATAAAAATAAATAAAGCATCCAGTCAAACTCCATCAAAACCAAGATAGTGACGAGAGTAACCTCTGGTTGTCCTCACCGCTCCACTCCCAGCAGCCCCATGACAGTTTACAAATGCCATGGCAATGTCAGGAAGTTACCCTATGCTGTCTAAAAAGGGGAGGCATGAATAATCCACCCCTTGTTTAGCATATCCATAGAAATAACCATAAAAATGGGCAACCGGCCGGGCGCGGTGGTCACGCCTGTAATCCCAGCACTTTGGGAGGCCGAGGCGGGTGGATCATGAGGTCAGGAGATTGAGACCATCCTGGCTAACACGGTGAAATCCCATCTCTACTAAAAAAAAATACAACTAATTAGCTGGGTGCGGTGGCGGGCGCCTGTAGTCCCAGCTACTCGGGAGGCTGAGGCAGGAGAATGGCCTGAACCCAGGAGGCGGAGCTTGCAGTGAGCCGAGATAGTGCCACTGCACTCTGGCCTGGTGAAAGAGCGAGACTCCGTCTCAAAAAAAAAAAAAAAAAAAAAAAAGGGCAACCGAGGCCGGACGTGGTGGCTTACGCCTGTAATCCCAACACTTTGGGAGGCCGAGGCGGGCATATCACCTGAGCTCAGGAGGTCAAGATCAGCCTGGCCAACATGGTGAAACCCCATCTCTTACTAAAAATACAAAAATTAGCCAGACGTGATGGCAGGCACCTGTAATCCCAGCTACTCAGGAGGCTGAGGCAGGAGAATCACTTGAACTGAAGTGATTCAAGGCAGAGGTTTCAGTGAGCCAAGATCACGCCACTGCACTCCAGCCTGGGCGACAAGAGCAAAACTCCATCTCAAAAAAAATAAGGGCAACTAGCAGCCCTATGGGCTGCTGTCTATGGAGTAGCTATTCTTTTACTCCTTCACTTTCCTAATAAGCTTGCTTCCACTTTACTCCATAGTCTCGCCCTGAATTCTTTCTGGTATGAGATTCAAGAACCCACCATGCCCAGCTCGTCCTTACTTGCTTTTAAAAAATATCATTGGTGGCCGGGCGCGGTGGCTCACGCCTGCAATCCCAGCACTTTGGGAGGCCAAGGCTGGCGGATCACCTGAGGTCCGAAGTTTGAGACCAGCCTGACCAACATGGAGAAACCCCGTCTCTACTAAAATACAAAAAAATTAGCTGGGTGTGGTGGTGCGTGCCTGTAATCCCAGCTACTCAGGAGGCTGAGGCAGGAGAATCACTTGAACCCGGGTGGCAGAGGTTGCAGTGAGCCAAGATCATGCCATTGCACTCCAGCCTGGGCAACAAGAGTGAAACTCCGTCTCAAAAATAAATAAATAAAATCATTGGAATAATTTTCTTCTTTAGGAAGAGCAGCCTTGGGCCAGGCATGGTGGCACATGCCTGGAATCCCCGAACTTTGGGCAGCCCAGGTAGGTGGATTGCTTGAGTTCAAGAGTTCCAGACCAGCCTGGACAACATGATGAAACCTCTTCTTGATCAAATATACAGAATTTCGACTGAGCACAGTGGCTGTAAGCCCAGCATGTTGGGAAGCTGAGGTGGGTGAATCATTTGAGGTCAGACCAGCCTGACTAACATGGCGAAACCCCATCTCTACAAAAAATACAAAAGTTAGCCAGGAGGTCGTGGGCGCCTGTGGTCCCAGCTACTCGGGAGGCTGAGGCAGGAGAATGACGTGAATCCCGGAGTCGTAGGTTGCAGTGAGCCAAGATCGTGCCACTGCACTTCAGCCTGGGCGACACAGCAAGACTGAGGTTGCAGTGAGCTGTGATCCTCAACCTCCTGGGTTCAAGGGATTGTCGAGCCTCAGCCTCCCAAGTAGCTGGGATTATAGACATTCGCTCCCATGCCTGGCTAATTTTTGTATTGCAAAAATGCACTCCAGCCTAGATGACAGGACTGCACTCCAGCCTGGATGACAGAGCAAGACTGTGTCTCAAAAATAAATAAATAAATAAATAAATAGCCAACTGTGATCGTGCATGCCTGTAGTCCCAGCTACTCAGGAGGCCAAGGCAGGAGGATCACTTGAGACTGGGAGGTCATGGCTACAGTGAGCCATGATCTCGCAACTGCACTCCAGCCTGGGCAACAGAGGGAGAGAAAGGAAGGAAGGAGGGAAGGAGGGAAGGAGGGAAGGGAAGGAGGGAAAGGAAGTCAGTCTTGTGGGACAAGGAAGGAAGGAAGGAAGTCAGTCAGTCTTGTGGGACTCAGCCCTGAACCTTTGGGATCTGATGCTGTCCCCAGGTAGGGAGTGTCAGAACTAAATCAAAGGAGAGGACACCCAGCTGGTCTCTGCTGGAGAACTGGTTGTTGGTGGGGAGAAACATACATTTTTGGTGAAGTATTCTGTGTTGAGTGTGAAAGTAGGAAAAACAGGACTGGGTATGGTGGTTCATGCCTGTCATTCCAGGATTTTGGGAGGCCAAGGCAGGCGGATCACTTGAGGTCAGGACTTTGAGACCACCCTGGTGAACATGGCAAAACCCCATCTCTACTAAAAAAAAATACAAAAATTAGCTGGGCGCGGTGGCAGGTGCCTGTAATACCAGCTACTCGGGAGGCTGAGGCAGGAGAATCACTTGAACCCGGGAGGCGGAGGTTGCAGTGAGCTGAGATTGTGCCTTTGCACTCCAGCCTGGGAGACAGAGCAAGACTCTCCCTCAAAAAAAAAAAAAGGCCGGGCGCAGTGGCTCACGCCTATAATATCAGCACTTTGGGAGGCCGAGGCAGGTGGATCACTGACACCCAACACCACGCCTTCTAATTTTTTGCATTTTTAGTAGAAACGGGGTTTCACCATGTTGGCCAGGCTTGTCTCGAACTCCTGTCCTCTGGTGATCCACCTGCCTTGGCCTCCCAAAGTGCTGGAATTACAGGCGTGAACCCAGCAACTTTTCCCCCTTTTATCATACCTTAATTTGCCTCCACCACCCCCAGAAGCTCCAAGTCTCTACGCCTTTTCATTTATGTATGTATGTATTTATTTATTTATTTATTTATTTTATTTTGAGACAGGGTCTCCCTCTATCTCCCAGGCTGCAGTGCAGTGGCGTGATCTTGGCCCACTGCAACCTCCACCTCCCGGGTTCAAGTAATCCTCCTGTCTCAGCCTCCCAAGTAGCTGGGATTACAGGGCACACCACCACACCTGGCTAATTTTTGTATTTTTAGTGGAGACTGGGTTTCACCCTGTTGTCCAGGCTAGTCTCAAACTCCCGACGTCAGGTGATCCACCCATTTCGGTTCCCAAAGTGTTGAGATTACAGACCGTGAGCCACTGGGACGGACACCCCTACTCCTTTCTTCTTCTTCTTCTTTTTTTTTTTTTTTTTGAGATGGAGTCTCCCTTTGAAGCCCAGGCTGGAGTACAATGGTGCGATCTTAGCTCACTGCAGTTTCCTCCTCCCGGGTTCAAGTGATTCTCCTGCCTCAGCCTCCGGAGTAGCTGGGATTACAGGCACACACCACCACACCAGCTAATTTTTGTATTTTTAGCAGAGATGGGGTTTCACCATGTTGGCCAGGCTGGTCTCAAACTCCTGACCTCAGGTGATCCACCCACCTTGGCCTCCCAAACTGCTGGGATCACAGGCGTGAGCCACTGCACCCTACACTCTTATACTCCTTTCTGTAGCTCAGGCAGCTAGATGAGCTTCAATCATCTGGCCCTTCCTCCAGTCTCACATTTTTGTGGGACTCCTGTGCATACATAATTGAATCTGGTTTTTCTTCTGTCAAACTGTTTTGTGTCAATGTAATTCATAGCCCATCCAAAGAACCTAGGAGGGTGGAGGGAATCCATTTTCTCTCCTCCACACTGGAGGGCCATGGAGCCCAAGAGTTCAAGACTGGCCCGGTGTACAAAGTGAGACCCAGTCTCTATTTAAAAAAGATGGGGAGGGGGCCGGGCACGGTGTCTCACGCCTGTAATTCCAGCACTTTGGGAGGCCCAGGTGGGTGGATCACCTGAGGTCAGGAGTCCGAGACTAGCCTGGCCAAGGTGGTGAGACCGTGTCTTTACTAAAAATACAAAATTAGCTTGGTATGGTGGCAGGAGCCTGTAATCCCAGCTACTTGGAAGGCTAGGGCAGGAGAATCGCTTGGTTTGGGATTTTCTCCCTGAGGCACTTGCTATCTCCAGGATTATGGGTCTCAGGTGAAAGAAAGACAAAGAAGGAGAGAGAGACAGAGAGGGACAGGGAAAGAGAATTTCAGACTTATCTAACATTGACACTTAGGAGAAGTAGGGAGAAAGAGGTGGGAAAATAAAGTGGCTAGGTAAAAATGAACATGTCAGTAACAATAATAGCATTAACAATAACTAGTATTGCCGGGTGCAGTGGCTCACGCCTCTAATCCCAGCACTTTGGGACGCCGAGGTGGGCGAATCACAAGGTCAGGAGTTCAAGACCAGCCTGGCCAACATGGTGAAACCCTGTCTCTACTAAAAATACAAAAAGTTAGCTAGCTGGGCATAGTGGTGCATGCCTGTAATCCCAGCTACTCTGGAGGCTGAGGCAGGAGAATCGCTTGAACCCGGGAGGCAAAGGTTGCAGTGAGTCAAGATCAGGCCACTGCACTCCAGCCCAAGGGACAGAGTGAGACTCTGTCTCAAATAATAATAATAATAATAACTAGTGGCCAGGCACAGTGGCTCACGCCTGTAATCCCAGTGTAGCAGGACGAGCCACAGACAAAAACCTCTCAGACACCGAGTTGTAGAAGGAAGGGCTTTATTCAGCTGGGAGCATCGGCAAGCTACTGTCTTAAAATCCAAGCTCCTCGAGTGCACAGTTTCTGTCCCTTTTAAGGGCTCACAACACTAAAGACTGCGCATGAAAGGGTCATGATTGAGCAATCTAGGGGATACATAACAGGGGTTTCGTGCACTGCTGGTCAGAGAGAAAGAATAGGGCAGGGAGTTTCACAGTGTTCTTCTATACAATGCCTGGAATCTATGGATAACATCGGGTTCTAAGTCATGAGTTGATTTTTATCTACTAGGTTTACGCCAGGCAGGCCCAGGCCTGGTTTCGGGTCTGGTTTTGGGTCTGGTGCCTGGCGCCGGGCTACCTGCCTTTGGTTTCACTTCCTTGTTTTTTTCTTTTTCTTTTTTTTTTTTTTTGAGACAGAGTCTTGCTCTGTCGCTAAGGCTGGAGTGCAGTGGCACAATCTCGGCTCACTGCAAGCTCCGCCTCCTGGATTCAAGCAATTCTGCTGCCTCATCCTTCCGAGTAGCTGGGATTACAGGCGCACGCCACCATGCCCGGCTAATTTTTGTATTTTTAATAGAGACGGGGTTTCACCATGTTGGCCAGGCTGGTCTCAAACTCCTGACCTTGTGATCCACCCGCCTTGGCCTCCCAAAGTGCTGGGATTACAGGCGTGAGCCACCGTGCCCGGCCTCCTTGTTTTTTTTCTAAAACAAGTACTGAGTATAAAACAATATAAAACAATATGAGACGGTTTCTCTCTTCCCTCACCAGCACTTTGGGAGGCTGAGGCAGGTGGATCACAAGGTCAGAGTGGATAGCACTTTAGGAGGTTGAGGTGGGAGGATCCCTTGAGCCCAGGAGCTCAAGTCCAGCCTGGGCAACATAGCAAGACCCCCATTTCCAATTTTAGTGTATGTGCTGCCAAAGCAAATACTCTGAGACCCTGTTTCTACAAAAAATAAAAAAATTAAAATTAGTGCTTGGAAAAAAAAATTAGTGCTTGACCAGGAGGCAAGCACACCTCCTCATCCTCTCATGGATGTCTGTCTGTAGAAAGTAAATGGAGACAGCTTCATTTTACCCAACTGCTCCGTTTTAGGTCCGCTCCTGAGCTTCTGTTGTTCCCAGCCATGCAACCCTGGGAGCCGACTCCCGGCTGCAGAGCCTTGTCAGAAGCAGGCAATGTACACAGAGACCCAAGGCCTGGTGTAGACAGGCTTTCACAGACCTGGGCATTTTGTTGAATTGTTTTTGAATTGTGGTTTCTTATCAGTTCATCCGATACTCTGTTCTAACCACGTAGTTCCTCTTTTGGATCTCCAAACCCCTTTGCAGGTTCCATCTACCCGAACCAAACTCACTTATTCCAACAGAAGTCTGGTGTTTCTTGTTTTTTTTGTTTGTTTGTTTCTTTCGTTTTGTTTTTTGAGATGTTGTCTCCCTCTATCACCCAGGCTGGAGTGCAGTGGCGAGATCTCAGCTCACTGCAACCTCTGCTTCCCGGGTTCAAGCAATTCTCCTCCCTCAGCCTCCTGGGTAGCTGGGATTACAGGTGCCTGCCGCCACACCCAGCTAACTTTTGTATTTTTAGTAGAGACGGGATTTCACCATGTTGGCCAGGCTAGTCTCGAGCTCCTGACCTCAAGTGATCCACCCATCTCAGCCTCCCAAAGTGCTGGGATTACAGCCTTAAGCCACCGCGCTCAACCAGAAGTCTGTTTAAATCCATCCTTCTCCCCAGCCACCCATGAGTTATGTGACCTTGGGGTTGCTACTTAACATTTCAGTCTCAATTTCCTCAATAGAACAAAAGTTAGAAGAATTGTAACAAAAGATAGTTTTATTTTTATTTTTATTTTTATTTTTTGAGATGGAGTCTTGCTCTGTCACCTAGGCTGGAGTGCAGTGGTGTGATGGTGGCTCACTGCAAGCTCCGCCTCCCGGATTCACGCCATTCTCCTGCCTCAGCCTCCCAAGTAGCTGGGACTACAGGCACCCGCCACCGTGCCCAGCTAATTTTTTTAATTTTTAGTAGAGACGGGGTTTCACCGTGTTAGCCAGGATGGTCTCGATCTCCTGACCTCGTGATCCGCTTGCCTCGGCCTCCCAAAGTGCTGGGATTACAGGCGTGAGCCACCATGCCCAGCACAAAAGATAATTTCTTAATCCCATGCATTTGAGTCTTAAAAAAATATTCTATATAATTCCAAGGTCAAAGAAGAAATAACAAAGGGCATTTTTAAAAATGCTAGAACTGAGTGGTGGTGAAATTGCTGTTGAAATGTGTTTGTTGCACTGATGGAAATTTATAAATGTAAATATTTATATTAAAATATAAAATAATGGGCCAGGCATAGTGGCTCACACCTGTAATCTCAGTACTTTGGGAGGCCAAGGCGGGAGGGCCATGGAGCCCAGGAGTTCAAGACCGGCCCGGTGTACAAAGTGAGACCCAGTCTCTAGTTAAAAAAGAGGGGGAGTGGGCCAGGCACAGTGTCTCACGCCTGTAATTCCAGCACTTTGGGAGGCCAAAGCAGGTGGATCACCCGAGGTCAGGAGTCCAAGACCAGCCCGGCCAAGGTGGTGAAACCCCGTGTCTACTAAAAATACAAAATTAGCTTGGTATGGTGGCGGGAGCCTATAATCCCAGCTAGGGCAGGAGAATCACTTGAACCCGGGAGGCAGAGGTTGCAGTGAGCCAAGATCATGCCACTGCACTCCAGCCTGGGCAACAACAGAGAGACTTCATCTCTAAATAAATAAATAAATAAATAAAAGAAAATACAAATTTTTTAAAAAAGGTACTGTGGCTGGGCGTGGTGGTTCACACCTGTAATCCCAGCACTTTGGGAAGCCGAGGCAGGTGGATCTCAGATCAGGAGTTCAAGAAGAGCCTGGCCAGCATGGTGAAAACCTATCTGTACTAAAAATTAGCCTGGCATGGTGGCAGGTGCCTGTAGGAGGCTGAGGCAAGAGAATTGCTTGAGCCCCGGAGGCAGAGGTTGCAGTGAGCCGAGACCACACCACTGCACTCCAGCCTGGGCAACAGAGCGAGAGTCTGTCTCAAAAAGGAAACAAAAAAAAAAGTACCTCCAAATTATGGTAGGGTGTCCATATTAAGAAGGTAGAAAAAGGTCGGGGGAAGTGGATGCCTGTAATCCCAGAACTTTGGGAGGCTGAGGCGGGTGGATCACCTGAGGTCAGGAGTTCAAGAACAGCCTGGCCAAAAGGGTATGGTGAAACCCCATCTCTACTAGAACTACAAAATTAGCCGGGCGTGGTGGTACATGCCTGTAATCCCAGCTACACAGGAGTCTGAGGCAGGAGAATCACAGGAAACCGGCAGGCAGAGGTTGCAGTGAGCTGAGATCGCGCCATTGCACTCCAGCCTGGGCGACAAGAGCAAAACTCCATCTCAAAAAAAAAAAAAAGAAAAAATGAAAAAGAATTTATTGAAATGTGCAGTCTGAAAACTGCTCCTGCACATTTTCATTCATCCTTCCTATTCCCTCCATCCCTCAATTTTTTTTTTTTTTTTGAGACAGAGTTTCGCTCTTGTTGCCCAGGCTGGAGTGCAATGGCACGATCTCAGCTCACTGCAACCTCTGCCTCCCAGGTTCCAGCCATTTTCCTGCCTCAGCCTCCAGAATAGCTGGAATTACAGGCATCTGCCACTACGCCTGGCTAATTTTTTGTGTATTTTTAGTAGAGATGGGATTTCACCATGTTGGTCAGGCTGATCTCGAACTCCTGACCTCAGGTGATCCACCCGCCTCGGCCTCCCAAAGTGCTGGGATTACAGGCATGAATCACCACGCCCGGCCCCTCATTTTCTTTTCTTTCTTTCTTTCTTTTTTGTTTGTTTGTTTTTGAGACAGAGTCTTGCTCTGTCACCCAGGCTGGAGTGCAGTGGCGCGATCTCAGCTCACTGCAAGCTCCGCCTCCCGGGTTCACGCCATTCTCCTGCCTCAGCCTCCCGAGTAGCTGGGACTACAGGCGCCCGCCACCACGCCCGGCTAATTTTTTGTATTTTTAGTAGAGACGGGGTTTCACCGTGTTAGCCAGGATGGTCTCCATCTCCTGACCTCGTGATCCGCCCGCCTCGGCCTCCCAAAGTGCTGGGATTACAGGCGTGAGGCACCACACTGGGCCCCCTCACTTTCTTATTCTTTCTAGGATAGGCAACTGAGCGCGGCAGTGAAGAGCTGGGCTTCCGGAAGCTGACAGCTGTTTGTGATCTTCAAGACCTCAGACAGGTTTTCTAAATATGCCTTGCCTTCATTTTCTCAAGGAAAGTGAAAAATGGGTAGGATCATGGCAATCACTACTGTGTAGCAATGTTTAGAGGACTTAATAAGTAAACACAGGGTCAAGCATGGTGGCTCACACCGGAAATCCCAGCACTTTGGGAGGCCGTGGTGGGAAGATTGCTTAAGCCCATGGGGTTGAGACCAGCCTGGGCAACATAGTGAGACCTCCATCTCTATAAAAAATACAAAAATCTAGTCAGGCGTGATGGCGTATGCCTGTAGCCTTCAGTAAGCTATGATTGTGCCACTGCACACCAGCCTAGGCGACAGAGTGAGACCCTGTCTCAAAAAGAAAAAACGAAAAGAAATATAGATGTACATATACATATGTTGGTTCTAAAACATGAAAAAGGCTGGGCGCGGTGGTTCGTGCCTGCAACCCAAGCACTTTGGGAGGCCGAGGCGGGCGGATCACGAGGTCAAGAGTTTGAGACCAGCCTGGCCAACATAGTGAAACCCCATCTCTACTAAAAATACAAAAAAAAGGCTAGGCGCAGTGGCTCATGCCTGTAATCCTAGCACTTTGGGAGGCCGAGGTGAGCAGATTACCTGAGGTTGGGAGTTCAAGACCACCCTGTCCAACATGGTGAAACCCCATCTCTACTAAAAATAAGAAAATTAGCCGGGTACAGTGGCACGCGCCTGTAATCCCAGCTATTCAGGAGGCTGAGGCAGGAGAATCGCTTGAACTCTGGAGGCGGAGGTTGCAGTGAGCCAAGATTGCGCCACTGCACTCCAGCCCGGGCGACAGTGCCAGACTCAGTCTCAGAAAAAAAAAAAGCAAAACAAACAAAGAAACATGAAAAAAAGCTATAAAACCCAACTTTTTTCTTTTTTTTTTTGAGACGGAGTCTCACTCTGTCGCCCAGGGTGGAGTGCAGTGGTGCGGTCTCGGCTCACTGCAACCTCCGCCTCCTGGGTTCAAGCAATTCTCTGCTTCAGCCTCCCAAGTAGCTGGGATTACAGGCACCCGCCACCACGCCCGACTAATTTTTTGTATTTTTAGTTGAGACGGGGTTTCATCATCTTGGCCAGGCTGGTCTTGAAGTCCTGACCTCGTGATCCACCCGCCTTGGCCTCCCAAAGTGCTGGAATTACAGGCGTGAGCCACCGCGCCCGGCCAAAACCCAACTTTTTAGTCTTATTTATATGGTGTTTTTTTTTTTTTTTTTTTTTTTGAGATGGAGCCTTGCTCTGTCGCCCAGGCTGGAGTGCAGTGGCGCGATCTCGGCTCACTGCAAGCTCCGCCTCCCGGGTTCACGCCATTCTCCTGCCTCAGCCTCCCGAGTAGCTGGGACTACAGGTGCCCGCCACCACGCCCGGCTAATTTTTTGTATTTTTAGTAGAGACGGGGTTTCACCGTGTTAGCCAGGATGGTCTCGATCTCCTGACCTCGTGATCCACCTGCCTCGGCCTCCCAAAGTGCTGGGATTACAGGCGTGAGCCACTGTGCCCGGCTATATGTTTACAAAATTAATACTGCCAGCCAGGCACGGTGGCTCACGCCTGTAATCCCAGCACTTTAGGAGGCTGAGGCTGGCAGATCACCTGAGGTCAGGAGTTTGAGACCAGCCTGGCCAGCATGGCAAAACCCCGTCTCTATTGAAAAAAATACAAAAATTAACCAGGCGTTGTGGCGCATGCTTGTAATCTCAGCTACTCGGGAGGCTGAGGCAGGGGAATCACTTGAAGCCGGCAGGCGGAGGCTGCGGGGAGCCGAGATCGTGCCGTTGCACTCCAGCCTGGGGAACAGAGCAAGACTCCATTAAAAATAAAATAATAATAATACTGTGAATGTGAAACTGATGAACTTGGTGCTTTTCATGCGTCTCATAGTTGACGTGTCATTGATATTTCACTTGAAATACGGTTGGATTTTTATTAATAATATACCTGGGGTGATGGGAGAAGGTAGCCAATCACAGCTGAGGCTTCTAAGCGGTGATTCTCAGCCTCGGCCGCAATCACAATTATCTGGGACTCTCGAAAGAACTCCAGGGTCTGGGCAGTCCCAGTGTAACCAATCAAGCAGAATCTCTAGGCGTTCGTGCTTTGAAATGAGGCTCCACATAGGTAAGTTTAACAGGCAGTCAAGATGGAGGACCACAGGTGGAGATCGGGAAGCTCAGGTGAAGGACCGCCCCCCAACACCCCCCGCCCCCAAAAGACCTCTCAGTAATTCCGGTGGATACAGGAAGTGCTCAGCAACGATTACGCCCCGAGGGCCAATCACAGGGCTGCGGCCGAGAAAGAAGCCTTAATAGAGCTTTCTCAACCTGCAGCCCTCATCTCCGCCGGCGAGTAGGGCCAGGTGTTGGGAGGTGAGTAGCTCTCCGGCAGCTCTGCAACTTCATTTCTTTATTTCTCCATTCCACAGTTGGTAAAATTTCTCCTTTTATTTCATATATTTTTTTTCTGAGACGGAGTCTCGCTCTGTCGCCCAGGCTGGAGTGCAGTGGCGCGATCTCTGCTCACTGCAAGCTCCGCCTCCCGGGTTCACGCCATTCTCCTGCCTCAGCCTCCCGAGTAGCTGGGACTACAGGCGCCCGCCACCACGCCCGGCTAATTTTTTGTATTTTTAGTAGGTGGCTCACGCCTGTAATCCCAGCACTTTAGGAGGCTGAGGCTGGCAGATCACCTGAGGTCGGGAGTTTGAGACCAGCCTGGCCAGCATGGCAAAACCCCGTCTCTATTGAAAAAAATACAAAAATTAACCAGGCGTTGTGGCGCATGCTTGTAATCTCAGCTACTCGGGAGGCTGAGGCAGGGGAATCACTTGAAGCCGGCAGGCGGAGGCTGCGGGGAGCCGAGATCGTGCCGTTGCACTCCAGCCTGGGGAACAGAGCAAGACTCCATTAAAAATAAAATAATAATAATACTGTGAATGTGAAACTGATGAACTTGGTGCTTTTCATGCGTCTCATAGTTGACGTGTCATTGATATTTCACTTGAAATACGGTTGGATTTTTATTAATAATATACCTGGGGTGATGGGAGAAGGTAGCCAATCACAGCTGAGGCTTCTAAGCGGTGATTCTCAGCCTCGGCCGCAATCACAGTTATCTGGGACTCTCGAAAGAACTCCAGGGTCTGGGCAGTCCCAGTGTAACCAATCAAGCAGAATCTCTAGGCGTTCGTGCTTTGAAATGAGGCTCCACATAGGTAAGTTTAACAGGCAGTCAAGATGGAGGACCACAGGTGGAGATCCGGAAGCTCAGGTGAAGGACCGCCCCCCAACACCCCCCGCCCCCAAAAGACCTCTCAGTAATTCCGGTGGATACAGGAAGTGCTCAGCAACGATTACGCCCCGAGGGCCAATCACAGGGCTGCGGCCGAGAGAGAAGCCTTATTAGAGCTTTCTCAACCTGCAGCCCTCATCTCCGCCGGCGAGTAGGGCCAGGTGTTGGGAGGTGAGTAGCTCTCCGGCAGCTCTGCAACTTCATTTCTTTATTTCTCCATTCCACAGTTGGTAAAATTTCTCCTTTTATTTCATATATTTTTTTTCTGAGACGGAGTCTCGCTCTGTCGCCCAGGCTGGAGTGCGGTGGCGCGATCTCGGCTCACTGCAAGCTCCGCCTCCCGGGTTCAGGCCATTCTCCTGCCTCAGCCTCCCGAGTAGCTGAGACTACAGGCACCTGCCACTATGCCCAGCTAATTTTTTTGTATTTTTAGTAGAGACGGGGTTTCACCATGTTGGCCAGGCTGGTCTCAGTCCGCCTCGGCCTCCCAAGGTGCCGGGATTACAGGCGTGAGCCACCGCGCCCAGCCTTTTTTTTTTTTTTTTTTTTTTTTTTCTTCTCTTTTTTGAGGGTCTTACTCTGTTTCCCAGGCTGGAGCGCTGTGGCAGGATCTCGGCTCACTGAACCCTTGACCTCTCAGGTTCAAGCAGTCCTCACGCCTCAGCCTTTGAAGTAGCTGGGACCGTGGGAGGGTGCCACCACATCTGTTCTGGCTAATAATATTATTATTACCACTGTTTGCAGAGACTCACTAGATGTAGGGTCTTAATATGTTGCCGAAGCTGGTCTCTAACTCCTGGGCTCAAGCGATCTTCCTGCCTCAGACTCCCAAAATTCTGGGATTATAGGCAGGTGCCACCGCGCCCGGCCTAAATCTTTTCTTCTGTTAGAAATTAAGTGGTTCTGCCTGTCTCAGTGGCTCACGCCTGTAATCGCAGCGCTTTGGGAGGCCGAGGCGGGAGGATCACCTGAGGTCGGGAGTTCGAGACCAGCCTGACCAACATGTAGAAACCCCATCTCTACTAAAAATATAAAATTAGGTGGGCGTGGTAGCGCATACTTGTAATCCTAGCTACTCAGGAGGCTGAGGCAGGAGAATCACTTGAACCCGGGAAGCGGAGGTTGCGGGGAGCCTAGATCATACCATTGCTCTCCAGCCTGCGCAGCAAGAGAGAAACTGTCTCAAAAAATAAAATAAAATAAAATTCAGTGGTTCTGACTGGGGAAAGAGTAGCAGATGCTTAGATCTAGAGAGACTCTAGTTAAGGTTGGCTCATAAGAGGATAGTTGTGTGTGCTTTTATTTCTGTTCTCTTGGGGGATTTAGGATAGAGCTATAGAGAGCTCCAAAAAAAAAAATATATTGGAACAGGTCAGATGCTGTGGTTGCTGTGTGTGGAGTCCTGGGCAGTGCTAAGGTTTTGTGTCTAATGAGTCCTCTTAACAAGAAGGTATTGTTTTTTATTCACTGAGGTGAGGGAGCCTCTTAGCATCATTCTAGTCCAGCTTCCGGACCTGAGTCTTATGCAAATACCTATGCCAGTTGCCATTCTCACGCTATTCACAGCTATCATATAAAGAGGTGTTATACCCTTTCTGTAAAGTTTTTGTTGCTACTGCTATTTTTTTTTTTTTTTTTTTGAGACAAAGTCTAGCTCTGTTTCCCAGGCTGGAGTACAGTGGCGCTATCTCAGCTCACTGCAACTTCCACCTCCCAGGTTCAAGCAATTCTCGTGCCTCAGCCTTCTAAGTAGCTGGGACTACAGCCGCCTGTCACCAACCTGGCTAATTTTCGTATTTTTAGTCGATATAGGGTTTCACTATGTTGGCCAGGCTGGTCTCAAGCTCCAGACCTCAGGTGATCCTCCCACCTTGGACTCCCAAAGTGCTGTGATTACAGGCGTGAGCCACCGCACCCGGCCCTGTTGTTTTTAAAATAGAGACAGGGTCTTAAGTTGCCAGGCTGGTCTGGAACTTCTGGACTGGAGTGATCACCCACCTGAGCTTCCCAAAGTGCGGGGATTGCAAGCGTCAGCCACCACCCCCAGTGTTGTGTTTTTGTTTGTTTTACCAGGCTGGAGTGCAGTGGTGCGATCACAGCTCACTGCAGCCTTAACTTCCCTGGCTCAGGTGATCCTCCCACCTCAGCCTCCTCAGTAGCTGGGACTACAGGTGCATGCCACTATGCCCAGCACAATTTTTTTTTTTTTTGTATTTTTTTGTAGAGACAGGGTTTTGCCATGTTGCCCAGGCTGGTCTCAAACTCCAAGCAATCCTCCCACCTTGGCTTCCCAAAGTGTTTGGGGTTCCAGGTGTGAGCCATGGCCCCCCGGCCAGCTTCAGTAAAGTAAAAGCCACACACCTGTGTCCTGAGACCAGGCTCCACCACTAAGTTATCTTTAAGCCTTTTTTTTTTTTGAGACAGTTTCACTCTTGTCGCCCCAGGCTGGAGTGCAGTGGCGCCATGTCAGCTCACCACAACCTCTGCCTCCCACTCCCAGGTTCAAGCGATTCTCCTGCCTCAGCCTCCCAAGTAGCTGGAACTACAGGCACCTGCCACCACGCCCGGCTAATTTTTTGTATTTTTAGTAGAGACGGGGTTTCACTGTGTTAGCCAGGATGGTCTCGATCTCCTGACCTCACGATCCGCCCGCCTCGGCCTCCCAAAGTGCTGGGATTGCAGGCGTGAGCCACCGCGCCCGGCTGTGTGTTTGCATTATCATATTCAGCCCAGTTTTCACGAAGTTTCTTGTCTCCTGGGTGATCCACGTAGCTCCCCACTTCCTTATCTGATCTATGCTTGTCCTTTCATTGTTGTGTTACTACTTTGCTATAATGAGAGAGTGTTTTCGCTTTATAGGTTAACTTTTAGAACCTGAGCAGCCCCTCAGGGAAAACCCTGACAGTAGCTGGTTATTTTGCAATTAGAAAAACTAGCTGGGCACTGAGGCAGGTGAATCACGAGGTCAGGAGTTCGAGACCAGCCTGGCCAACTTGGTGAAACCCCCCATCTCTACTAAAAATACAAAAAAATTAGCTGGGCACAGTGGTGAATGCCTGTAATCCCAGCTACTTGGGAGGCTGAGGCAGGAGAATTGCTTGAATCCGGGAGGCAGAGGTTGTAGTGAGCCGAGATTGCAGCACTGCACTCCAGCCAGGGTGACAAAGTGAGACTCCGTCTCAAAAAAAAAAAAAAAAAAAATACAAAAAGTAGCTGAGCGTGGTGGTGGGTGCCCATAATCCCAGCTAGTCGGGAGGCTGAGGCAGGAGAACTGTTTGAACCTGGGAGGCAGAGGTTGCAGTGAGCTGAGATCGTACTACTGTACTCCAGCCTGGGCTGCAGAGTGAAACTATCTCAAAAATAAGTAAATAAAAGTAAAATGAGTTGAGGTCTTGCTCTGTTGCCCAGATGGGAGTGCAGTGGCACAATCAAGGCTCACTGCAGTTTCAGTCTCCCAGGCTCAAGCAATCCTCCCACTGCAGCCTCCTGAGTAGCTGGGACTACAGGCATGTACCACCACCCACTGCTAACTTATTTTTCATGGAGATGGGGGTCTCACTATGTTGCCCAGGCTGGGAGTTTGTTCTTGAAGAAGCAGGGTAGATGGTGAGTGTCCTTGTTCGTGGCACAGCAGGAACTGGCATTTGAGACAGGAGTGCTAATCACCATCCCTCTCCACTCCTCCCTTGATTGTCATCACAGCTCCCACGTGGGACAAGATGGTGTCTTCGGCGCAGATGGGCTTCAACCTGCAGGCTCTCCTGGAGCAGCTCAGCCAGGATGAGTTGAGCAAGTTCAAGTATCTGATCACGACCTTCTCCCTGGCACACGAGCTCCAGAAGATCCCCCACAAGGAGGTAGACAAGGCTGATGGGAAGCAACTGGTAGAAATCCTCACCACCCATTGTGACAGCTACTGGGTGGAGATGGCGAGCCTCCAGGTCTTTGAAAAGATGCACCGAATGGATCTGTCTGAGAGAGCAAAGGATGAAGTCAGAGGTGAGTGGAAATCGGTCCACACTGTGTCCTAGGAGGAAGCAGGCGTCCTCTCCAGGACTTTAGAAATTCAGAAGGCCAGGCGCGCTGGCTCACGCCTGTCGTCCCAGCCCTTTGGGAGGCTGAGGCGGTTGGACCACCTGAGGGTCAGGAGTTTGAGACCAGCCTGACCAACATGGTGATGAAACAGCATCTCTACTAAAAATACAAAAATTTGCTGGACGTGGTGGCAGACACCTGTAATCCCAGCTACTCCGGGAGGCTGAGGCAGGAGAATCACTTAAATCTAGGAGGCGGGGGTTGCTATGAGCCGAGATCACGCCATTGCACCCCAGCCTGGGCAACAAGAGCAAAATTCTGTCTCAAAAAAAAAAAGAAATGGCATTGAGGCTTGGAGAGGGACTGCTTGTTCTGAATGCAGGTGCTGGATCTTCATAAACCCTGGTGTCTGTCCTGGTCCTTATTTTCTACCTACTTCTTTTTTTTTTTTTTTTTGTCCTTTTATTTTTTTATTTTTTATTTTATTATTATTATTTTTTTTATTATACTTTAAGTTTTAGGGTACATGTGCACATTGTGCAGGTTAGTTACATATGTATACATGTGCCATGCTGGTGCGCTGCACCCACTAACTCGTCATCTAGCATTAGGTATATCTCCCAATGCTATCCCTCCCCCCTCCCCCCACCCCACCACAGTCCCCAGAGTGTGATGTTCCCCTTCCTGTGTCCATGTGATCTCATTGTTCAATTCCCACCTATGAGTGAGAATATGCGGTGTTTGGTTTTTTGTTCTTGTGATAGTTTACTGAGAATGATGGTTTCCAATTTCATCCATGTCCCTACAAAGGACATGAACTCATCATTTTTTATGGCTGCATTGTATTCCATGGTATATATGTGCCACATTTTCTTAATCCAGTCTATCATTGTTGGACATTTGGGTTGGTTCCAAGTCTTTGCTATTGTGAATAATGCTGCAATAAACATACGTGTGCATGTGTCTTTATAGCAGCATGATTTATAGTCATTTGGGTATATACCCAGTAATGGGATGGCTGGGTCAAATGGTATTTCTAGTTCTAGATCCCTGAGGAATCCCCACACCGACTTCCACAATGGTTGAACTAGTTTACAGTCCCACCAACAGTGTGAAAGTGTTCCTATTTCTCCACATCCTCTCCAGCACCTGTTGTTTCCTGACTTTTTAATGATCGCCATTCTAACTGGTGTGAGATGATATCTCATAGTGGTTTTGATTTGCATTTCTCTGATGGCCAGTGATGATGAGCATTTTTTCATGTGTTTTTTGGCTGCATAAATGTCTTCTTTTGAGAAGTGTCTGTTCATGTCGTTCGCCCACTTTTTGATGGGGTTGTTTGTTTTTTTCTTGTAAATTATTTTCTACCTATTTCTATCGCTTTCAGGTATCGTACAGTTGGCCTAACATATCTGTGGATTTAACCAATCCTAGATCAAAAATAATGGGGGCAAAGACAATTAAAAATAACAATACAATAAAATGCACATGAACTATGGTTATTTAACTCTTCTTGAGAGAGGATCTCACTCTGTCACCCAGGCTGGAATTTAGCAGCACGATCTCGGCTCACTGCAACCTCCGCCTCCCGGGTTCAAGCGATTCTCCTGCCTCAGCCTCCCGAGTAGCCGGGATTACAAGCATGTCCCACCATGCCTGGCTGATTTTTTTTTTTTTTTTTTTTGTATTCTAAATAGAGATGGGGTTTCACCATGTTAGCCAGGATAGTCTCGATGTCGTGACCTCATGATCTGCCCGCCTCGGCCTCCCAAAGTGTTGGGATTACAGGCGTGAGCCACCGCACCCAGCCAGCAAGTGCATTTAGAACTACTCTACTTTCTACCCCATAACTTTTTTTTTTGTTTGTTTGAGACAAGTCTCACTCTGTCACCCAGGATGGAGTGCAGCAGCACAATCTCAGCTTATTGCAACTCCCGCCCCCTGGGTTCAAGTGTTTCTCCTGCATCAGCCTCTTGAATAGCTAGGATTATACAGGCACCTGCCACTGTGCCTGGCTAAATTTTGTATTTTAATAGAGATGGGGTTTCACTATGTTGGCCAGGCTGGTCTTGAACTCCTGACCACGTGATCAACCCGCCTCAGCCTCCCAATGTGCTGGAATTACAGGTGTGAGCCGCCATGCCCAGCTACACTTTTTTTTGAAACGGGGTCTCGTTTTCTTGCTCAGGCTGGAGTACAATGGGGCAATCACAGCTCACTGCAGCCTTGACCTCCCAGACTTGAGCAATCCTACCACTATGGCCTCCCACCACACCTCGCTCATTCTTGTATATATATATATTTTTGTAGAGATAGGGTTTCACCATGTTGCCCAGGCTGGTCTCGAACTTCTGTGGGCTCAACCGATCCTCCTGCCTTGGCTTCCCACAGTCCTGGGATCAGAAACATGAGCCACAGTGCCTGGCCAGTGCAGCTTTATTTACAGTAACCAAGATATAGAGTCAGTCTAAGTGACCATCAGTGGATGAATAAAAAATGTGCCCGTTGGGTACCCTGCCTACTGCCTGGGTTATGAGATTGTTGGGACCCCAAGCCTTAAAAAGGAAACATGGTAGGCCGGGCACAGTGGCTCACGCCTGTAATCACAGCACTTTGGGAGGCCAAGGCGGGTGGATCACTTGAGGCCAGGAGTTTGAGACCAGTCAGGCCAATGTGGTGAAACCCTGTCTCTACTAAAAATATAAAAAAATCAGCCGGGCGTGGTGGCACACTCCTGTAGTCCCAGCTACTTGGGAGGCTGAGGCAGGAGGATTGCTTGAACCAGAGAGTCAGAGGTTGCAGTGAGCCAAGATCGTGCCACTGCGCTCCAGCCTGGGTGACAGCAAGACTCCATCTCAAAAAAAAAAAACAAACAAACATGGTATTAATTACACAATGGAATACTCCTCAACCTTAAGGAACTCCTATCTTTTTATTTAAAAATTGCCAGTTTTATTTCAGCTAGAGATCACTTTTTAGCATAATGTTTCCTGTCTTTAACAATGGGTGAGGGTTTTTTTTTTTTTTTTTTTGGTTTGGTTTGGATTTTGGTTTTGCTTTTGAGTCGAAGTTTCACTCTTGTCTCCCAGGCTAGAGTGCAATGGCGCGATCTCGGCTCACTGTGACCTCCTCCTCCCAGGTTTAAGTGATTCTCCTGCCTCAGCCTCCAGAGTAGCTGGGATTACAGGCGCCTACCACCATGCCCGCTAATTTTTGTATTTTAGTAGAGACAGGGTTTTACCATGTTGACCAGACTGGTCTCGAACTCCCGACCTCAGGTGATCTGCCCACCTCAGCCTCCCAGAGTGCTGGGATTACAGGTGTGAGCAACCATGCCCGGCCAAGGGTTTTTAACTTTAGCTGACCTCCGGAGGTTACAAGTTTGAAAACGGCAGGAGGAAACCCAGAGAGTTGTAAACTTACGAAGGTCTGGGCTCTGAAAAAGATACAAATTTTCTTTCCATGCCAATAGCGCTCACACAGACATGGTGAATGTTCCTGAAACCCGCCGGACTTTCTGTAAGAAGTGTGGCAAGCACCACCCCCACAAAGTGACACAAGGCAAGGATTCTTGGTATGCCCAGGGGAAGTAGTGTTATGACAGGAAGCAGAGTGGCTATGGTGGGCAGACTAAGCCGATTTTCCGGAAAAAGGCTAAAACTACAAAGAAGATTGTGCTAAGGCTTGAGTGCCTTGAGCCCAACTGCAGATCTAAGAATGCTGGCTATTAAAAGATACAAGCAGCCAAGCGCGGTGGCTCACGCCTGTAATCCCAACACTTTGGGAGGCCGAGGTGGGCGGATCACAAGGTCAGGAGTCTGAGACCAGCCTGGCCAAAATGGTGAAACCCCATCTCTACTAAAAATACAAAACTTAGCTGGGCATGGTGGTGTATGCCTATAGTCCCAGCTACTCAGGAAGCTGAGGCAGGAGAATCGCTTGAACCTGGGAGGCAGAGGTTGCAGTGAGCCAAGATTGTGCCACTCCAGCCTGGGCAACAGAGTGACACTCTGTCTCAAAAAAAAAAGATGCAAGCATTTTGAACTGGAAGGAGATAAGAGAAAGGAACAAGTGATCCAGTTCTAAGTGTCATCTTTTCTTTTATGAAGGCAATAAAATCTTGAGCTTATGGTAAAATGCAAAATTTTCCCCCCTTCTCCTTTTTCAGAAGCAGCTTTGAAATCCTTTAATAAAAGGAAGCCTCTATCATTAGGTAAGTTACCTCATTTATAACTTTTATTCTTCATGTGAGATCTGGGGACTCGGGCCTTTGTTTTAAGGAGAATGTGCTGAGCACTAAGAATGCAAAGAAATGCCGGACTTAGCATCCCTGCTCCCAGGGCGGAGCTGGTCTCGCAGGTGCGTAGCAGTAAGACCTGGGAAGCTGAAACACGATCGCGTTTGTTGGAAATCTATAAATACATACAAAGCGGGGAAGGGTAAGCTTGGCCTTTGAATCTGGATAAGGTAGAGACTTTTCTTTTTTGAGATGGAGGCTTGCTCTGTCACCTAGGCTGAAGTGCAGTGGTACGACCTCGGCTGACTGCAACCTCTACCTCCTGGGTTCAAGCAGTTCTCCTGCCTCAGCCTCTAGAATAGCTGGGATTACAGGTACCTGCCACCAGGCCCGGCTAATTTTTTGTGGTGTTTGTAGAGATGGGGTTTCACCATGATGGCCAGGCTGGTCTTGAACTCCTGACCTCAAGTGATCTGCCCACCTCAGCGTCCCAAAATGCTGGGATTATGGGCATGAGCCACCACCACACCCGGTTTTGTTTTTTTTTTTTTTTTTTTTTTTTTTTTTTTTTTTTTGAAACAGGGCTTCACTCTGTCACTTAGGCTGGAGTGGTGCAATCATGGTTCACTGCAGCCTTGACCTCCCAAGCTCTGGTGATCCTCCTGCCTCAGCCTCCTGAGTAGCTGGGACCACAGGCACTTGCCACCATGCCTGGCTAATTTTTTTCACTTTTTGTAGAGACAGGGTCTTGCTATGTTGCCCAGGCTGGCCTCGAATTACTAAACTCAATCAGTCCTCCTGCCTCACCCTCCCAAACTGCTGGGGTACAGGTGTGAGCCATGACACCTGGCCCTTACCAGCTACTTATATCCTGAAGATTATTATTATTTTTTTTTTTTTTGAGATAGAGTCTCTCTCTGTTGCCCAGGCTGGAGTGCAGTGGCGTGATCTCGGCTCACTGCAAGCTCCGCCTCCCGGGTTCATGCCATTCTCCTGCCTCAGCCTCCCGAGTAGCTGGGACTACAGGCGCCCACCACCACGCCTGGCTAATTTTTTTGTGTTTTTAGTAGAGACGGGGTTTCACCGTGTTAGCCAGGATGGTCTCGATCTCCTGACCTTGTGATCCGCCCGCCTCGGCCTCCCAAAGTGCTGGGATTACAGGCGTGAGCCACCGCGCCCGGCCCCTGAAGATTGTGTTTTGAGATGGGGTCTTGCTGTGTTGCTCCGGCTTGATTGCAGTGGCACAGTCATAGCTCATTGCAGCCTCAACCTTCCAGGCTCCAGAGATCCTCTTACCTCAGCCTCCTGAGTAGCTGGGACTACAGGTGTGCACTGCCACACCTGACTAATATTTGTATTTTTGGTAGGGACAGTTTCACTATGTTGCCAGATATGGTGTCAAACTCCTGGTCTCAAGTGATCCTCCCACCTTGGCCTCCCAAAGTGCTGGGATTACAGACATGATTCACCACACCTGGCCATGAAGACTTTTTTTTTTTGGACAAAGTCTCACTCTGTTGCCCAGGATGGAATGCAGTGGCATGATCTCAGCTCACTGCAACCTCTGACCTCCGCCTCCCGGTTCAAGTGATTCTCTTGCCTCAGCCTCCCGAGTAGCTGGGATTATAGGTGTCTGCCACCAAGCCCAGCTAATTTTTGTAATTTTAGTAGAGATGGGGTTTCACCATGTTGGCCAGGCTGGTCTTGAACTCCTGACCTCGTGATCCACGTGCCTCAGCCTCCCAAAGTGTTGGGATTACAGGTGTGAGTCACTGCGCCTGGTCTCATGAAGACCTTTTTTGAGACAGAGTCTTGCTCTGTCACCCAGGCTGGAGTGCAGTGGTACAATCTCACTGCAGCCTCCGCCTCCCAGGTTCAAGTGATTCTCCTGCCTTAGCCTCCCAAGTAGCTGGGATTACAGGCGCCTACCACCACGTCTGGCTAATTTTTGTATTTTTAGTAGAGACAGGGTTTCACCATGTTGGCCAGGCTGGTCTCAAACTGCTGACCTCAAATGAACTGTCTGCCTCAGCCTCACAAAGTACTGGGATTACAGGCATGAGCCACCTCACCTGGTGGTGAAGACTCTAAAGGCTCTTCTCAGATCAGCCTTTGTCCTGAATTTCACATGCCCGTGTCCAGTTCCCTCCCCAGCATCTTTTCAGGAGTTCCATGGACTCACCTCTTCATTATCCAGGGTTAAGCTGCAGATATTGTTATTAGGATTCCACCTTGTTCTCTCTCTTTTTTTTTTTTTTTTTGATACGGAGTCTCGCTTGCTCTTTTGCCAGGCTGAAGTGCAGTGGAGCGATCTTGGCTCACTGCAATCTCCGCCTCCTGGGTTCAAGCAATTCCCTTGCCTCAGCCTCGCAAGTAGCTGGGACTTACAGGTAACACACCACCATGCCCGGCTAATTTTTTGTTTTAGTAGAGACGGGGCTTCACCATGTTGGCCGGGATGGTCTCGATCTCCTGACCTCATGATCCGCCTGCCTTGGCCTCCCAAAGTGTTGGGTTACAGGCATGAGCCACCATGCCCGGCTGATTCCACCTTGTTCTTACATTCTTTCCCAGTTCATTTTAAATTTATCTACCTCATCAGAAACTAGGGGGTTAGGCCTGGCAGGCAGATCACCTGAGGTTGGGAGTTCGAGACCAGCCTGACCAACGTAGAGAAACCCTGTCTGTACTAAAAATACAAAATTAGCCAGGTATGGTGGCACATTCCTGTAATCCCAGCTACTCCGGAGGCCGAGGCAGGAGAATCACTTGAACCCAGGAGGCGGAGGTTGCAGTGAGCCGACATCACACCATTGCATTCCAGCCTGGGCAACAAGAGCAAAACTACATCTCAAAAAAAAAGAAAAACTAGGCAGTTAATCCTCAAAGCCTTTCCAGTGGCCTTATGCGTGAGTAGTTTGTGTGTGTGTGTGTGTGTGTGTGTGTGTGTGTGTGTCTTTCACACCATGTGTTCTGAACTACTTAGGAATTCTCACCAGAAAGGCACATAAACCTGGGATCATGGCCTAATGTACTTTCACTTTTACATCCAGTACCTTATCAACGTCCTTTTTAGTACCTAATCTAGGCTTCACTACTGAGACTCAGGGGTCCAACTTGAGCCATCTTGGAGTCCCACTGCCAGCACAGCAACAGGCCTGTAATGCCGCCCTTTTTCTCCAGGGATAACACGGAAAGAACGACCACCTCTAGACGTGGACGAAATGCTGGAGCGCTTCAAAACAGAAGCACAAGGTGGGTGTCAGGACCTCCAATGTTGGAGTCAGCTGAGGAAGCCCCCCGTTCTTGCTGCTATCTCCTGTTCCTTTGAAGAACCCCATCTCTCTCCAATCTTTTCCTCCACTATTCTTAATGTGCCCACTGTCTCCTGGAGAATGCCAACCTCCCTTCCGTAAGAATAGAGGGAAGAACGAACGTTGCAGAGAATTAGAACTCAGTTTGTAGAAAGTTAGGAGCACAGCGCAGAGAGTTTTTGTTTTTGTTTTTGTTTTGAGACAGTTTCTCTGTTGGCCAGGTTGGAATGCAATGGCGCGATCTCGGCTCACTGTAACCTCCACCTCCCAGGTTCAAGCGATTCTCCTGATTCTCCTGACTCAGCCTCCTGAGTAGCTGGGATTATAGGCACCTGCCACCACACCCAGCTAATTTTTTTTTTTTTTTTTGAGACGAAGTCTTGTTCTTGTCACCCAGGCTGGAGTATAGTGGCACCATCCCTGTTCACTGCAACCTCCGCCTCCCAGATTCAAGTGATTGTCCTGTCTCAGCCTCCTGAGTAGCTGGGACTACAGGTGCATGCCACCACGCCCAGCTAATTTTTTTTTGTACTTTTAGTAGAGACAGGTTTCACCATCTCATTCAGGGTGGTCTCAAACTCCTGACCTCAAGAGATCTGCTCCACCCACCCCCAAGTCTCCCGAAGTGCTGGGATTACAGGCGAGAGCCACCGTACCCGGCCTTCTTTAAATTATTTAAAAGTTGACAGGTGGCCAGGTGTGGTGGCTCTCACCTATAATCTCCCAGCACTTTGGGAGGCTGAGGCGGGTGGATCAAGAGATCGAGACCATCCTGGCCAACATGGTGAAACCCAACTCTACTAAAAACACAAAAATTAGCCGGGTGTGGTGGCACCCGCCTGTAGTCCCAGCTACTCAGGAGGCTGAGGCAGGAGAATCGCTTGAACCCGGGAGGTGGAGGTTGCAGTGAGCCAAGATTGTGCCACTGCACTCCAGCCTGGCAACAGTGCGAGACTCCATCTTAAAAAAAAAAAAAAAAAATTGACAGGCATAAATGTATTTATGGTACATTGCTCAGACAACTTTAATATAAACAACTTACAGAGAAAATTGAGTCTTTTGGGTAGGTGACTTGCCTGAGCTGACTTTGTGATAGGTTTTTTCTGTTTTTTTTGTTTTTGAAATAGAGTCTCACTCTGTCATGCAGGCTGGAGTGCAGTGGCCCCATCTTGGCTCACTGCAATCTCTGCCTCCTGGGTTCAAGGGGTCTTCCTGCCACAGCCTCCCCAGGTGCTGGGACTATAGGTGCCCACCACTATGCCTGGCTAACTTTTGTGTTTTTAGTACAGATGGGGTTTCAACAGGGTAGCCAGGTTGGTCTAGAACTCCTGACCTCAAGTGATCCACCTACCTCGGTCTCCTAAAGTGCTGGGATTACAGCTGTGAACCACCGCACCTAGCCTGTGATCAGTTTCAGATCAGCCTTGCTTACTCCACATTCCCTCTTATCTTCCTGGTAGCATTTTTGTTTTTTCTTGAGAAAGAGTTTTGCCCTTGTCGCCCAGGCTAGAGTGCAATGGTGTGATCTCGGCTCGCCACAACCTCCACCTCCCAGGTTCAAGTGATTCTGCCTCAGCCTCCCGAGTAGCTGGGATCATAGGCGCCCACCACCACATCTGGCTAATTTTTGCATTTGTTAGTTTTATTTTTAGTAGACAGGGTTTCACCATGTTGGGCAGGCTGGTCTTGAACTCCTGACCTCAGGTGATCCACCCACTTCGGCCTCCCAAAGTGCTGGGATTACAGGCATGAGCCACCGTACCTAGCCCACATTGACTTTTGATACAGCAAGTATTTCTTGCTATGGCTCTGTATAATAGAGGTGAGTAACTTGGTTGAAGGAATTGTTTGCCCTGTTCATCTCTCTAGACACGGCCAATGTCATTCCTGGCACACAATCTTTTTTTTTCTTGAGATGGAGTCTCACTCTGTTGCCCAGACTGGAGTGCAGTGGTGCAATCTTGGCCCACTGCAACCTCTGCTACCCAGGTTCAAGCGATTCTCCTGCCTCAGCCTCCCAAATAGCTGGGAGTACAGGTGTGTGCCACCACGCCCAGCTAATTTTTTGTATTTTAGTAGAGACAGGGTTTCACCGTGTTAGTCAGGATGGTCTGGATCTCCTAACCTCGTGATCCGTCCGCCTCAGCCTCCCAAAGTGCTGGGATGACAGGCGTGAGCCACTGTGCCCAGCCTAGCACACAATCTTGACAAAGAATTTCGGTGCGACTTGGGGTACTGTGGTGCCTGCTCTATCATCATGCTTCAGCAGGAAATGTGGGTGAATAGTGCCTGGTGGCATGGCAGGTAAAGAAATGTTTTGTTTTGTTTTTTTTTTTGAGACAGTCTTGCTCTGTCACCCAAGCTGGAGTGCAGTGGCGCAATCTCGGCTCACTGCAAGCTCCATCTCCCGGGTTCACGCCATTCTGCCTCAGCCTCCCCAGTAGCTGGGACTACAGGCGCCCGCCACACGCCCGGCTAATTTTTTGTATTTGTAGTAGAGACAGGGTTTCACCGTGTTAGCCAGGATGGTCTCGATCTCCTGACCTTATGATCCACCCGCCTTGGCCTCCCAAAGTGCTGGGATTACAGGCGTGAGCCACCGCGCCCAGCCGCGGGTAAAGAAATTTATGAAGACAATCGTAGGTAAAGGAAGGCAGATTTATTGGAGAAAGTAGGAAAAGACATTGGCAGAGAGACCCCAGCGGGCAGGTTGTCATGAGTAGCTCACTGCCAGGAGACCAAAGCTTCCTGCAGATTTTATAGAATAGGGCTTGGGCTGATTGATAATGTCAACAGGGGGTTTAACTTGCGGTCTTCTTTCAGCAGAAGTGTTTGATAAACTGAGGCGTTTCATGGCAAACAGGGAGTTTGTGAGCTCTGTGTGTGATCTGGCCAGGAAGGCCAAACATCTTGGGCCGTATCTCCTGGACCATAAAAGCAGACCTGGCCCAGTGCAGTGGTTCATGCCTGCAATCCCAGCACTTTGGGAGGCTGAGGTGGGTGGATCATCTGAGGTCAGCAGTTTTAGACTGGCCTGGCCAACATGGCGAAACCCCATCTCTACTAAAAATACAAAAATTAGCCTAGACGCAGTGGCACATGCCTGTAATTCCAGTTACTTGGGAAGCTGAGGCAGGAGAATCGCTTGAACCCGGGAGGCGGAGGTTGCAGTGAGCTGAGATTGCGCCACTGCACTCCAGCCTGGGCAACAGAGTGAGACTGTCTCAAACAGACCTATAGCTGACCTGTTTCCTCTTGTTTGTATGCCCTGAACCATGGAGGAAAGCTTATTTATTTATTTTATTGAGATGGAGTCTTGCTCTGTTGCCCAGGGTGGAGTGCAGTAGTGCGATCTCTTACTACAACCTCCATCTCCCAGGTTCAAGCAATTCTCGAGCCTCTTGGCCTCCCAAGTAGCTGAGATTACAGGCATGCGCCACCACGCCTGGCTAATTTTTGCATTTTTAGTAGAGATGGGGTTTCTGTGTTGGCCAGGCTGGTCTCGAACTCCTGAGCTCAAGTGATCCACCCCACCTCAGCCTCCCAAAGTTCTGGGATTATAGGCATGAGCCACCACACCTGGCCGGAAAACACATTTGTAGCTTATTTGCTTTATCTGATCCCGTGCCCCCCCTCCCCCCCGCCCCATCAGCCTGCCTCCTTTTCTCTAATTGGGACTCCACAGGAAATACACCTGATTTTGTGTCAATCTCACATGAGTTTGTATTTTGTAGCGTTTACAGAAACGAAAGGAAATGTCATCTGCCTGGGTAAAGAAGTCTTTAAAGGAAAAAAGCCAGGTCTGTACCATATCTTCCTGCAGGGAGCTTGGGATCAGATTTCTCTTTATAAACTTGAAGTCCTCTTAACTTTCCTATGTAACACAAAGCATTTATTTATGTATGTATGTATCGAGACGGAGTTTTGCTCTTGTTGCCCAGGCTGGAGTGCCGTGGCGTGATCTCGACTCACTGCAACCTCCGCCTCCCAGGTTCAAGCAATTCTCCTGCCTCAGCCTCCCGAGTAGCTGGGATTACAGGCATGCGCCACCATGACTGGCTAATTTTTTATTTTTAGTAGAGACAAGGTTTCTTCATGTTGGTCAGGCTGGTGTTGAACTCCCAATGTCAGGTGATCTGCCTGCCTCGACCTCCCAAAGGGCTGGGATTACAGGCATGAGCCACTGTGCCCGGCCAACACAAGGCATTTTGTTATTTTGGTTTTCCCTATGGGTAACTGATTGCATCCTCTCTCCCTTCCCTCCTCACCAATGATAAAGACAAAGACAATAGGTGCAGGTATATATTGAAGACGAAGTTCCGGGAGATGTGGAAGAGCTGGCCTGGAGATAGCAAAGAGGTCCAGGTTATGGCTGAGAGATACAAGATGCTGATCCCATTCAGCAACCCCAGGGTGCTTCCCGGGCCCTTCTCATACACGGTGGTGCTGTATGGTCCTGCAGGCCTTGGGAAAACCACGCTGGCCCAGAAACTAATGCTAGACTGGGCAGAGGACAACCTCATCCACAAATTCAAATATGCGTTCTACCTCAGCTGCAGGGAGCTCAGCCGCCTGGGCCCGTGCAGTTTTGCAGAGCTGGTCTTCAGGGACTGGCCTGAATTGCAGGATGACATTCCACACATCCTAGCCCAAGCACGGAAAATCTTGTTCGTGATTGACGGCTTTGATGAGCTGGGAGCCGCACCTGGGGCGCTGATCGAGGACATCTGCGGGGACTGGGAGAAGAAGAAGCCGGTGCCCGTCCTCCTGGGGAGTTTGCTGAACAGGGTGATGTTACCCAAGGCCGCCCTGCTGGTCACCACGCGGCCCAGGGCCCTGAGGGACCTCCGGATCCTGGCGGAGGAGCCGATCTACATAAGGGTGGAGGGCTTCCTGGAGGAGGACAGGAGGGCCTATTTCCTGAGACACTTTGGAGACGAGGACCAAGCCATGCGTGCCTTTGAGCTAATGAGGAGCAACGCGGCCCTGTTCCAGCTGGGCTCGGCCCCCGCGGTGTGCTGGATCGTGTGCACGACTCTGAAGCTGCAGATGGAGAAGGGGGAGGACCCGGTCCCCACCTGCCTCACCCGCACGGGGCTGTTCCTGCGTTTCCTCTGCAGCCGGTTCCCGCAGGGCGCACAGCTGCGGGGCGCGCTGCGGACGCTGAGCCTCCTGGCCGCGCAGGGCCTGTGGGCGCAGACGTCCGTGCTTCACCGAGAGGATCTGGAAAGGCTCGGGGTGCAGGAGTCCGACCTCCGTCTGTTCCTGGACGGAGACATCCTCCGCCAGGACAGAGTCTCCAAAGGCTGCTACTCCTTCATCCACCTCAGCTTCCAGCAGTTTCTCACTGCCCTGTTCTACACCCTGGAGAAGGAGGAGGAAGAGGATAGGGACGGCCACACCTGGGACATTGGGGACGTACAGAAGCTGCTTTCCGGAGTAGAAAGACTCAGGAACCCCGACCTGATCCAAGCAGGCTACTACTCCTTTGGCCTCGCTAACGAGAAGAGAGCCAAGGAGTTGGAGGCCACTTTTGGCTGCCGGATGTCACCGGACATCAAACAGGAATTGCTGCGATGCGACATAAGTTGTAAGGGTGGACATTCAACGGTGACAGACCTGCAGGAGCTCCTCGGCTGTCTGTACGAGTCTCAGGAGGAGGAGCTGGTGAAGGAGGTGATGGCTCAGTTCAAAGAAATATCCCTGCACTTAAATGCAGTAGACGTTGTGCCATCTTCATTCTGCGTCAAGCACTGTCGAAACCTGCAGAAAATGTCACTGCAGGTAATAAAGGAGAATCTCCCGGAGAATGTCACTGCGTCTGAATCAGACGCCGAGGTTGAGAGGTGAGAACCGTTTCACTCTACCAGTCGTTCCATCTTTAGCCTCATCCCATGCCCCCTTAGGAAGAGGCCAGAGCCTCCTATGCACTGTGGCTTAGGGTCAGGAATTCCCTCTTGTTGGACTCTTTGTTTGTTTTTGTTTTGAGATGGAGTCTTGCTCTGTCGCTCAGGCTGGAGCGCAGTGGCGCGATCTTGGCTCCCTGCAACCTCCGCCTCCCGGGTTCAAGTGATTCTTCTGCCTCAGCCTCCTGAGTAGCTGGGACTACAGGCGCCTGCCACCTTGCCCGGCTAATTTTTATATTTTCATTAGAGACGGGATCTCAGCATGTTGGCCAGTCTGGTCTTGAACTCCGCCTGACCTCAGGTGATCCACCTGCCTCAGCCTCCAAAGTGGGATTACAGGCATGATTCACCATGCCCGGCCCAAATATATTTTTTTAAGACAGGGTCTTGCTGTGTTGCTCAGGCTGGAGTACAGTGGTGAAATCAGCTCACTGCATCCTCAAACTTCTGGGTTCAAGTGATGTTCCTGAGTACCTGGGATGACAGGTATTAAGTGTGCACCATCATGTCCAGCTAACTTAAGTGGGGGTTTTTTTTTGTGTTTTTTTTTTTTTTTTTTTTTTTGGAAAGACAAAATCTCACTATGTTGTCCAGGCTGGTCTTGAACTCCCAAAGCACTGAGATTACAGGCATGAGTTACCACACGCCCTGCCTGAATATTTCTTATTGATATGTATAGATATGTATATTCCCAATCTTTTTTTTTTTTTTTGAGACGGAGTTTCACTCTTTTTCCCAGGTCGGAGTGAAGTGGCTCGATCTCGGCTCACTGCAACCTCCGCCCCACCAGGTTCAATGATTCTCCTGCCTCAGCCTCATGAGTAGCTGGGATTACAGCCACCCACGACCATGCCCAGCTAATTTTTGTACTTTTAGTAGAGACGGGGTTTCACCATGTTGGCCAGGCAGGTCTCGAACTCCCGACCTCAGGTGATCCACCCGCCTCAGCCTCACAAAGTGCTAGGATTATAGGCGTGAGTCACCGTGCCCGGTCTATATTCTCTATCTTTTATCAATGATGTGCTTAGCATTTTAACTTATTTTTACCCTCTATTGGATTTTTGTCTAAGAAGAATAGGTTCTTTCTCCTGTGATGCTTCTTGGGTGTTGAGTTGTCTGATGGTGGTGCTAATAAGTGATTACATGGTCCAGCTTTCAATTGTACTCATTTGTCAGGGGTATATGCCCAGAGAAACCCTAAATACTTCAGCCGTGATGGACACACATTTGGTGTAACCCTTTCTTCTCTTCCCTATAGATCCCAGGATGATCAGCACATGCTTCCTTTCTGGACGGACCTTTGTTCCATATTTGGATCAAATAAGGATCTGATGGGTCTAGCAATCAATGATAGCTTTCTCAGTGCCTCCCTAGTAAGGATCCTGTGTGAACAAATAGCCTCTGACACCTGTCATCTCCAGAGAGTGGTGTAAGTAGAAACTAATTCATGAACTCAAATCCTTAGGGTATGAAAATGGTACAATGTTAACATCGGAGCAATATTCAGATTCCTGTACTAGACTCTTAAGTGCTCGAGACACAGGGAATTGAGAGAGTCCTGTCCTTAAATTTATTTTGTGGGATAATCGTATAAAGTAATTTCTAGGGGCTGGGCATGGTGGTTCACACTTGTAATTCCAACACTTCGGGAGGCCGAGGCAGACAGATCACTTGAGGTCAGGAGTTCGAGACCAGCCTGGCCAACGTGACAAAACCCTGCCTCTACTAAAAATACAAAAATTATCCAGGCGTGGTGGCAGGCACCTGTAATATCAGCTACTTGGGAGGCTGAGGCAGGAGAATTACTTGAACCCAGGAGGCGGAGGTTGCAGTGAACCAAGATCCTGCCACTGGACTCCAGTCTGAGTGACAGAGCGAGACTGCGTCTCAAAAAAAAAAAAAAAAAAAAAGAAAAAGAAAAAAAGGGCCGGGCACAATGGCTCACGCCTGTAGTCCCAGCACTTTGGGGGCCCAAGGTGGGGGGATCACTTGAGGTCAGGAGTTCAAGACCAGCCTGGCCAAGATGGTGCAAGACCCTGTCTCTACGAAAAATACAAAAATTTGCCAGGTGTCGTGGCAGGTGCCTATAATCCCAGCTACTCCGGATGCTGAGGGTAGGAGTCGCTTGAATCCGGGAGGCAGAGTTTGCTTTGCAGTGAGCCGAGATCGCGCCACTGCACTCCAGCCTGGGCAACAGAGTGAGACTCCATCTCAAAGAAAAAAAAAATCTGTAAAGATGGACAAAAATTTAAACATGGAAAAAATAGTTCCTAAAGTTTAAATATATCGAGCCCCTGGTTTCCATTTAAGTACGATACAGGTGTACACACTAAAGATTTCACTTTCGTTCTCTTTTCCCTAGGTTCAAAAACATTTCCCCAGCTGATGCTCATCGGAACCTCTGCCTAGCTCTTCGAGGTCACAAGACTGTAACGTATCTGACCCTTCAAGGCAATGACCAGGATGATATGTTTCCCGCATTGTGTGAGGTCTTGAGACATCCAGAATGTAACCTGCGATATCTCGGGTATATCTCTTAATCATTAAAATCCTTCATCATACAAACATAAGCTACCACAAGCTTATGTGGCAATTTTGTGTAAATAAGAAAAAGTTCGTTATTCTGACTAGAAACAGTACTAAGGGCAGATGACCCAGGATGCAGCATGGGCTGAACTTGAGTTTCTACTTGCCTTGAACAGTAAACACCCTGGACAACCATACGTGAGGACCCTGAATCCAAAGAAACTCCCAGAATCTTTATCATCTTTTTTTTTTTTTTTATGAAGTCTTGCTCTGTTGCCCAGGCCAAAGTGCAATGGCACGATCTTGGCTCACTGCAACCTCTGTCTCCTGGGTTCAAGTAATTCTGCTGCCTCAGCCTCCCAAGTTGCTGGGATTACAGGCACCCGCCACCACGCCCGGCTAATTTTTGTGCATTTAGTGGAGCTGGTTTCGCCACATTGCCAGGCTGGTCTCGAACTCATGACCTCAGGTGACCTGCCCTCCTCAGGCTCCCAAAGTGCTGGGATTATAGGCATGAGCCACCATGCCCAGCCAGAGTCCTTATGTTTTGGTTTTGGTTTTGGTTTTTTCTTTTTCTTTTTTCTTTTTGAGATGGAGTCTCGCTCTGTCACCCAGGCTGGAGTGCGTTGGTATGATCTCAGGTCACTGCAGCCTCCACCTCCCAGGTTCAAGTGATTCTCCTGCCTCAGCCTCCTGAGTAGCTGGGATTACAGGTGCACACCACCACACCTGGTTAATTTTTGTATTATTAGTAGAGATGGAGTTTTACCACATTGGCCAGGCTGGTCTCGAACTCATGACCTCAGGTGATCTACCCCCCCACCCCCACCCCACCCCGCCGTCGGCCTCCCAAAGTGAGGCATGAGCCACCGTGCCCAGCCCAGAATCTTTATCTTCTATCAGAGATCATTCACTCATGGTTCATGCTTCTCCTGTATGATGATTCAGAATACCAGCTATTGACATTTTTCAAGCAAGAACCCTTCAGGAACATCAAGTTGCCCCTTTTCTGTTAGTCCTCTGGTTTGAGAGCTCTCCCCTTGGGAAGCTGTCCAGTGGCTGCCCAGGCGATGAGAACCTACATGCATCATGGGGTTCCATGAAGCCTCACTTGGCCACACTGGTGTAGTAGGTGGTCATTGGCCTCAAATTATTGCCCTGGGCCAGGCGCAGTGGCTCACGCCTGGGAGGCCGAGGTGGGTGGATCACTTGAGGTCAGGAGTTCAAGACCGGCCTGGTCAACATGGTGAAACTCTGTCTCTACTAATAATACAAAAATTAGCTGGGCATGTTGGCGCACGCCTGTAGTCCCAGCTACTCAGGAGGCTGAGGCAGGAGCATCATTTGAACCTGAGAGGCGGAGGTTGCAGTGAGCTGAGATCACACCACCGCACTCCAGTCTGGGCAACAGTGTGAGACTGTCTCAAAAAAAAAAAAAAAAATCTTGGCTGGGTGCGGTAGCTCATGCCTGTAATCCCAGCACTTTGGGAGGCCAAGGCAGGTGGATCACAAGGTCAGGAGTTCAAGACCAGCCTGGCCAACATGGTGAAACCCCACGTCTACTAAAAATACAAAAACATTAGCTGGGCATGGTGGCGCGTGCCTGTAATCCCAGCTACTCATGGAGGCTGATGCAAGAGAATTGCTTGAACCTAGGAGGCAGAGGTAGCAGTGAGCCAAGATCACGCCATTGCACTCCAGCCTGGGCAACAGAGCAAAACTCCATCTCGAGGACAGAAAAAAAATTGATTGCTCTGGCTCTACTGATACAATCTTAGGCTGCTTAATGGGATCTTAGTTGAATAGGATGCTGTACATCTTACAGGTATTGGAAGGTTGAATGAAACCAAGCCCATGCATTCAATAGTGGCTGCTATCATTACTAACCGTTGCAATTACCCTCTTTTCTTTTTGCCTGAGAATAATGGGATGCAGGGTGAGGGGGAATATTGGGTGAATTAAAGATTTGGGTCACTAATTTCTTTCTTTTTTTCTCAAGATATAGTCTTGCTCTGTCTCCTAGGCTGGAGTGCAGTGCCACAATCTTGGTTCACTGCAACCTCTGCCTCCCGGGTTCAAGTGATTCTTCTCCGTCAACCTCCCAAGTAGCTGGGATTACAGGCACCCACCTGTATTTTTGTATTTCTAGTATTTTGTATTTCTAGTAGAGACAGGGTTACGCCATGCTGGTGGCCAGGGTGGTCTCAAACTCCTGACCTCGGGCAATCCACCACACCCAGCTAATTTTTGGTATATTTAGTAGAGCCGGGGTTTCACCGTGTTGGCTGGGCTGGTCTCGAACTCCTGACCTCAAGTGACATCCATCTTCCAAAATGCTGGGATTACAGCCATGTGCCACCACGCCCAGCTAATTCTTGTATTTTTAGGAGAAATGGGGTTTCATCATGTTGTTCCGGCTGGTCTTAAACTCCTGGCCTCATGATCCACCTGCCTTGGCCTGCCAAAGTCCTGGGATTACAGGCATGAGCCACTGTGCCCAGCCACTCATTTCTTATGAATTTATTCTAACACATTTTCCGGATGAACAGGGCACCTTGAAACATAGGTTAGTGGGCTGGGTATGGTGGCTCCTGCCTGTAATCCCAGTACTTTGGGAGGCCTAGGCTGGTGTATCGCTTGAAGTCAGGAGTTTTTTGTTTTGAGACGGAGTCTTGCTCTGTCGCCCAGGCTAGAGTGCAGTGGAGTGATCTCGGCTTACTGCAACCTCCGCCTCCTGGGTTCAAGTGATTCTCTTGCCTCAGCCTCCTGAGTAGCTGGGACTACAGGCACGTGTCGCCACGCCCATCTAACTTTTGTATGTTTAGTAGAGCCGGGGTTTCACCATGTTGGCCAGGATGGTCTCAAACTCCTGACCTCCTGATCTGCCCACCTCGGCCTCCCAAAGTGCTGGGATTACAGGCATGAGCCATTGCCCCGGCCAAAGTTAGGAGTTTGAGACCAGCCTGGCCAACATGGTAAAACCCCATCTCTACTAAAAAATACAAAAATTAGCCAGGCAAGATGGCATTTGCCTGTAATCCCAGCTACTCAGGAGGCTGAGGCGGGAGAATCTCTTGAATCTGGGAGGCAGAGGTTGCTGTGAGCTGAGATCGCGCCACTACACTCCAGCCAGGGCGACAGAGCATAAATAACTCCCTTTCAAAAAACCAAACAATGAAACATAGGTTAGCGGAGTCTGCATCCAACATTAGAGTCAGATTGACTAAGTTCTGTATTTCCAGCTGATTCCTGGGCGATGTTGGTGCCACTGGTCTGACCACCCTTTGACAACTGCTGCTCCAGATAATTCAAGTCGGGGTATAACACAACCAGTGAGATGTAAACCAAAGACGATTCCACGGTTAGATTCTCAAGAATGACTTGTTCTGCCGGGCGCGGTGGCTCACGCCTGTCATCCCAGCACTCTGGGAGGCCGAGGTGGGCAGATCACCTGAGATTGGGAGTTTGAGACCAGCCTGACCAACATGGAGAGACCCCCACCTCTACTGAAAATACAAAATTAGCTGGGCATGTTGGTGCATGGTGCATGCCTGCAGTCCCAGCTACTCGGGAGGCTGAGGCAGGAGAATCACTTGAACCCAGGAGGCGGAGGTTGCTGTGAGCCGAGATTGCGCCACCTGGGCAACAAGAGTGAGACTCAGTCTCAAAAAAAAAAAAAAAATGACGTGGTCCTATTTCTCCCACAGGTTGGTGTCTTGTTCCGCTACCACTCAGCAGTGGGCTGATCTCTCCTTGGCCCTTGAAGTCAACCAGTCCCTGACGTGCGTAAACCTCTCCGACAATGAGCTTCTGGATGAGGGTGCTAAGTTGCTGTACACAACTTTGAGACACCCCAAGTGCTTTCTGCAGAGGTTGTCGTAAGTCTCTCCTCTCTTACAGAGCAGCTGTGCTTTCGATCTGGGGCCACAGACGAGCAATGGTCATGCCTGACTTGGCTGTATGGAACCTCTCGCTGATGTGAACACCTGTTCCCATGTTTAGATCCAGGCCGATGGCCTGTGAATTTTGTTCTTCTCTCATTCCTATTCCTTCATAGGATCACCAGTGCATGATAGAAGGTGGGGAGTTCACAAGAAGGGGCTTTTGGATGCTGGCACTTGTGGAGCTAGCCGGGAAGGTTGAAGTTGGACCTGTCAACCGTGTTGCCATTTGTGATTCTTTTGTAGGTTGGAAAACTGTCACCTTACAGAAGCCAATTGCAAGGACCTTGCTGCTGTGTTGGTTGTCAGCCGGGAGCTGACACACCTGTGCTTGGCCAAGAACCCCATTGGGAATACAGGGGTGAAGTTTCTGTGTGAGGGCTTGAGGTACCCCGAGTGTAAACTGCAGACCTTGGTGTAAGTCCGTGCTGGCTGCCTGTGTGCGTGGGTGTATATGCACACGCCCCCCACCTCCGGGTTTGAGTAGGGTGGTTATGAGAACACTTAATTCCTCTAAAAGTTCCAAGCATGATGCTAATGACAACTGGTAAGACCTGGGTAGATGATGGTAGGAAAAAAGTATAAGTAGTAGTAGAGTAGTAGTAATATTCTATAGGGATTTGGGGAATGTAGCTGGTTTTCGGGTTTTTTTTTTCCTCTTTATGTATGTATGTATTTTAGAGATGGGATCTCGCCGTGTTGCCTAGGCTGGTCTCAAACTCCTGAGCTCAAGAGATCTGCCTGCCTTGGCCTCCCAAAGTGCTAGAATTACAGGCATGAGCCATGTCACCCCATGCTGTGTTTTCTCTTAATCTGTGTTCTTAGAACTATAACTGTAACATAAATTGCATGCAATTGGTTGTAAATGGAATTCATTTACTTATTTTTTAATGAATGATTTGCAAATCAGGTAGTCTTCTGGGCCAGTGTACGCTCAGACTCCCAATGGAAGCTATTGGAAGCTACATGCTCAATGTGATCCTCCTTTTAATACTAAAATCACAGGACACGTGGCCTGGCATAGTGGCTCACGCCTATAATCCCATCACCTTGGGAGGCCGAAGCAAGGCAGATCCCTTGAGGGCAGGAGTTCAAGACCAGCCTGCCCAACATGGTGAAACATTGTCTCTCTACTAAAAATACAAAAATTAGTCACGCATGGTGGGACATGCCTGTAATCCCAGTTACTCAGGAGGCTAAGGCAGGAGAATCACTTGAACTTCGGAGGTGGAGGTTGCAGTGAGCTGAGATGGCACCACTGAAGTCCAGTCTGGCCAATAGAGCAAGACTCTCTCAAAAAAAAAAAATTATAGGACAAATCTTTAGAAAGGAATTGGGGCCTGGCATGGTGGCTCATGCCTGTAATCTCAGCACTTTAGGAGGCGGGCAGAACACCTGAGGTCAGGAGTTTGAGACCAGCCTGGCTGATGCAGTGAAACCCTGTCTCTACTAAAAATACAAAAATTAGCTAGGCGTGGTGGTATGGTCCTGTAATCCCAGCTACTTGGGAGGCTGAGGCAGGAGAATCGCTTGAAGTCGGGAGGTTGCAGTGAGCCGAGATCGTGCCAGCCTGGGTGACAGAACGAGATTGTCTCAAAAAAAAAAAAAAATTGTATCTGCACTGATGGTTTCTGTTCAGAGATTCGATTTTATGTTAACATCTCTGGTATTTTTTTTTTTTTTTTTTAAGATGGAGTTTTACTCTTGCCCACGCTGGCAATGGCATGATCTAGGCTCACTGCAACCTCCGGCTTCAAGGAGGTTGATTCTCCTGCCTCAGCCTCCTGAGTAGCTGGGATTACAGGCACTCACCACCACGCCGGGCTAATTTTTATATTTTTAGTAGAGATGGGATTTCACCATGTTGGCCAGGTTGGTCTCGAACTGACCTCATGATCCGCCCGCCTCAGCCTTCCAAAGTGCTAGGATTTACAGGCATGAGCCACTGCGTCCAGCCATACATATCTCTGGTATTCTTTGTCTCTAACATCACCTCCAACAGTTAGGAACTGTCCTCTTCCTATGAAGTAACTAATCTAGGATATGTACCTGGCATCTGAAAACTACCCACTTAAATTTAATGACATATTCAGTTCATGGCTGGAGACGATGAGTAGAAGGAAAGGATTCTTCCCACACCCACTATATCTAGGCCCTGAAACATTAAAAAAGAAGTCCCACAAGCAGTGAGATGTCACCGACTCACTAACTGTATCTTCAAATGAATGTCTAGTTTTTTTGGTTGTGTGTGTGTGTGGTGTGTGGTGTGTGTGGTATTTTTTTGGGGGGGGGGGGGTTTTCTTTTTTTTTTTTTTTTGGTTTTTTTTTTTTGATAGTCTTGCTCTGTCGCCCAGGCTGGAATGCAGTGGCTCCATCTCAGCTCACTGCAACCTCCACCTCCTGAGTTCAGGTGTGATTCTCCTGCCTCAGCCTCCCAGGGATTAAGGTGCATGCCACCACGCCCAGCTAACTTCTTTATTTTTAGTAGAGACGAGTTTTCACCATGTTGGTCAAGCTGGTCTCGAATTCCTGACCTCAGGTGATCCACCCACCTCAGCCTCCCAAAGTGCTGGGATTACAGGTGTGAGCCACCGTGCCGGCCCCCTCAATTCAACTTTTTGATCCATGCCCCTATTTTGCTAAGTTGTCAACTTCCCTTTAGTCTTATGTGGGTTTTCCTCCATTACAGTCATGGAAGTTTCTAGAAGGCCGGGTAGGGTCTTTGAGAGGCCGAGGCAGGTGGATCATGAGGTCAGGAGTTCAAGACCAGCCTGGCCAACATGGTGAAACCCTGTCTTTACTAAAAATACAAAAATTAGCCAGGCGTGGTGTCGGAGCCTGTAATCCCAGCTTACTTGGGAGGGTGAGGCAGAGAATTGCTTGAACCTGGGAGGCGGAAGTTGCAGTGAGCTGAGATTGTGCCACTGTACTCCAGCCTGGGTGTCAGAGCGAGACTGTCTCAAAAAAAAAAAAAAAAAAGTTTCTATACATTCATAAAGTTTCAAGATTTGGGGGTGTGTTTTCACTTCTCCATCGTCATGGACTCCAATCTGCCATCTATTTCCAAGGCCCTTCCAGGTCCTGTGTCCCTCAGCTAGTGGTATGCTTCACTTGGGACCCAGAGATACATGGGCATTATAGTTCAAATTATAATTAAGTTTAGAACTCTATTGAGACAGAAGAAAGAAAACAGAGCTAAGGTGAAATATCTCTGATAATCTGTGTTGGTTAATATCTAGGATCCTAGTACCAGATATGTTGGAGTGTGAGCTGGTGTCTTCTGCCTGTAAGACACTACCTCTCTAGCAACTGAATTTAGCAAATACAATCGTAATCCCAGCATGTTAGGGAGGCCAGGGTGGGCAGATCATCTGAGGTCGGGAGTTCAAGACCAGCCTGGCCAACATGGGGAAACCCTGTCTCTACTAAAAATACAAAACTTAGCTGGGTGTGGTGGCACGCGCATGTGTGTACACACACACACCCCCCTGTAATCCCAGCTACTCGGAAGGCTGGGGCACAAGAATCGCGTGAAACCAGGAGGCGGAGGTTGAAGTGAGCCACCGTGCCAGCTGAGAATCCTTTTTACTTCTCCAACTTCTGTTGGCCACCTGCATTCCTTGGCTTGTGGCCCTTCCTCCAACTTCGGCAGAGCATCTTCAAACGTTGCCCTGGCTCCCTTATCACGTCACCTCCTGCTGGCTTTGACTCTCAGCTCCCTCTTATGAGGATCCCTGTGATTGCTGGACCTACCCAAATAAACCAGGATATAAACCATCTTAAGATGCTCAGTCACCTCTACGAGGTCCCTTTTGCTCGCAGGTGCCAGGAGTTGGGACTTGGACATCTTTAGGGGAGGCCATTCTTCTGTCCACCACACCACCCCATGATTCCATTTCCATGTCACCACTGTCTCTAAGTGTGTCTAACCCACGGCTCAAGAGTCAAAGGTGCATCACAGCAGTGAGAACTCACAGGTTCGGGTTTGCTTTCTTCCTGTGGTTGATTTCTAGGCTTTGGAACTGCGACATAACTAGCGATGGCTGCTGCGATCTCACAAAGCTTCTCCAAGAAAAATCAAGCCTGTTGTGTTTGGATCTGGGGCTGAATCACATAGGAGTTAAGGGAATGAAGTTCCTGTGTGAGGCTTTGAGGAAACCACTGTGCAACTTGAGATGTCTGTGGTGAGTTAACTTATAAGTTCAACTTCCTATACTTACACCTTACTGAATCTGTGGCTAGTGTAAAATAATCAGTGAAGCCGACTTCCCAAGTTATATAATTGAGAGGACCTTTATAGAGTCGATCGAGCATTTACTAGGATGGTTAAAGGAATAAGTTCTAGTCTATGTCTAAGTTTTTGTTTTTTTTTTTCTTGAAGTTTTGCTCTTGTCACATAGGCTGGAGTGCAGTGGCGTGATCTTGGCTCACTGCAACCTCCGCCTCCCAGGTTCAAGCAATTCTCTTGCTTCAGCTTCCCGAGTAGCTGGGATTACAGGCGCCCGCCACCATGCCCAGCTAATTCTTGTATTTTTAGTAGAGACAGGGTTTCGCCATGTTGAAGGTTCATCTCAAACTCCTGACCTCAGGTGATCCGCCCATCTCGGCCTCCCAAAGTGCTGGGATTACAGGCGTGAGCCACTGCGCCAGGCCCTATGTCTAAGTTCTAGTCTGTGTCATGCAAAGAACACCTGTGAAATTTTAAGGATACAGTGCCTCAAGCCATTCAGCCAAAAGCCACTGCCCAGCACCCCACATTCAGAGAGGTGGGAATTGGGCCAGGCACAGTGGCTCATACCTGTAATCCCAGCACTTCGGGAGGCCGAAGCGGGCGGATCACTTAAGGTCAGGAGCTCAAGACCAGCCTGGCCAACTTGAAACTCCATCTCTACTAAAATATAAAAATTAGCCGAGCATAGTAGTGGGTGCCTCTTTTTTTTTTTTTTTTTTTTTTGAGATAGTTTCACTCTTGTTGCCCAGGCTGTAGTGTAATGGCGCGATCTCAGCTCACTGCAACCTCCACCTCCTGGGTTCAAGTGATTCTCCTGCCTTAGCCTCCCACATAGCTGCAAATAAACAGGCATGTGCCACCATGCCTGGCTAATTTTGTATTTTTAGTATAGACGGGGTTTCTCCATGTTGGTCAGGCTGGTCTCGACCTCCGGACCTCAGGTGAGAGCCACCGTGCCCAGCCAGTAGGTGCCTTTAATCCCAGCTACTTGGGAGGCTGAGGCAGGAGAATCACTTGAACCCTGGAGGCAGAGGTTGCAGTGAGCTGAGATCCTGTCACTACACTCCATCCTGGGCTACAAGAGCAAGACTCCATCTCAGGAAAAAATAAAAAAGAGGTAGGAATTAGATATCGTGCCAGAAAATGCTGGCTCTATCAGCAGGTGAGTGGTCTCAACTTGGCTATCTTACAAATACCTTGTGAGTTAGCTACAATCAGATGCACTTGAACCTGGAATCCTATCTGGGAGGCAATCTTAAAAGAATTTGACTCGGGATGGGCAAGGTGGCTCATGCCTGTAATCCTGGCATTTTGGGAGTCCAAGGCAGGTAGATTGCTTGAGGCCAAGAATTTAAAAACAGCCTGGCCAACACAATGAAGCCCTGTCTCTACTGAAAGTACAAAAATCCGCTGAGCATGGCTGTGTACCTCTGCTCCCAGTTACTCAGGAGGCTGAGGTGGGAGGATCACTTGAGCCTGGGAGGAAGAAGTTACAGCGAATTGAGATCACGTCACCTCACTCCAGCCTGGGTGACAGTGAGATCCTGTCTCAAAAAAAAAAAAAAAACAAAAAAAACAAAGGCGCCTTTTTAATCACTCACTGACACGTGTAGAGGAGCAAAAAGTTTGAGTTGCTGGTTGGCCCAGGAGGTCAAGGCTGCAGTGAGCCAAGATGGCGTTACCACACTCCAGCCTGGGCAACCGAGTGAGACCGTGTTTCAAAAAATAAAGTGGCAGGGTGCAGTGGCTCATGCCTGTAATTCCAGCACTTTGGGAGGCCGAGGCAGGTGGATCACCTAAGGTCAGGAGTTCGTAGACCAGCCTGTCTCTACTAAAGAGACAGGTGAAACCCTGTCTCTCTAAAACCACAAAAATCAGGCAGGCATGGTGGCACATAGCTATAATCTCATCTACTTGGAGGCACGAGAACTGCTTGAATCCAGGAGGCAGAGGCTACAGTGAGCCGAGATCATGCCACAGCACTCCAGCCCTGGCGAGAGAGCAAGACTGTCTCAAAGAATAACTTCAAAGATGGAAGTTATTTAACCTCTCTGCTCAAAAGCCTCAGTGCTTCCCTATGTCAATCCAGGTAAAATCCTATATTGACGATGGCTTCAGGGTCTTCTGTGAGCTGGCCACTGCTTACCTATGACCTCATCTTGACAATCCTCCCTGTCTCACTCATGCCCGCTGCCTGGATGTTCTATTTTACGTGTCAGTCACATGTATCTTCAGGGCCTCTGCACAAGCTATTTCTCTGCCTGGAGAACTCCCCCCCGAGCTCTATGACTCGGTCTCTTCACCCCCTCACCTCCAACCATTGTAGCCAGAACCCCCAGTTATTCCCTGTACCCCTTGCCCTTCAGAACCCCTCATCGCCTCCATATTTTCCTGTTAGCAGATGAGCCCTGAGGGCGGAGACGTTTTGTTTGTTTTTTGAGACCGGAGTCTCACTCTGTCACCCAGGCTGGAGTGCAATGGCGCGATCTCGGCTCACTGCAACCTCCGCCTCCTGGGTTCAAGCGATTCTCCTGCCCCAGCCTCCTGAGTAGCTGGGATTACAGGTGCCTGTCACCACGCCCAGCTAACTTCTGTATATTTAGTAGAGACACGGTTTTACCATGTTAGGTTGGTCTTGAACTCCTTGACCTCAGGTGATCCATCCACCTCGGCCTCCCAAAGTGCTGGGATTACAGGCGTGAACCACCGTGCCCGGCCTGAGACTTCTGTTGGTCATGCAGATCCCCAACACACGAGGGTGGGCTTGGCTTGCCGGAGGGCATCGATCAGCACTGGCTGCATTAACGTGTTGATTTCTGTGTTTCCCCAGGTTGTGGGGATGTTCCATCCCTCCGTTCAGTTGTGAAGACCTCTGCTCTGCCCTCAGCTGCAACCAGAGCCTCGTCACTCTGGACCTGGGTCAGAATCCCTTGGGGTCTAGTGGAGTGAAGATGCTGTTTGAAACCTTGACATGTTCCAGTGGCACCCTCCGGACACTCAGGTATGATCCATTTACTTCCCCATCAGGCTTTCTCCAGAGTGGTAGGTTTAGGGGAAGCATAATGACATGGACCTGCTGTAGGAGACTGATCTGGTAGCTGGATTACAGGTTCCCGCCATCACACCCAGCCAATTTCTGTATTTCACTTGGAGAAACGGGGTTTCACCATGTTGGTCAGGCTGGTCTCAAACTCCTGACCTCAGGTGATCCGCCCGCCTCGGCCTCCCAAAGTGCTGGGATTACAGGCGTGAGCAACCGCACCCGGCCACCTTTTTTTTTTTTTTCCTTTGAGGCAAGAACTCACTATGTTCCCCAGGCTGGAGTCCAGCAGCACAATGATGGCTCGCTGCAGGCTCGCTCCAGCTCCTGGGCTCAAGCAATCCTGCCTCAGTTCCTGAGTAGGTAGGTTTATAAGCATGAACCATTGCACCCAGCCACGGCTGCCGTCTACCTGCTCATGATAGCCATTTGTCACTGGGCTGTGTTTTGTTTGTTGCATTTTGTCAGGGTTTTGGGGTTTTGTTTTGTTTTTTCTTTCTTTTTTTTTTTTTTTTTCTGAGATGGAGTCTCACTCTGTTGCCCAGGCTGGGGTGCAGTGGTTGCTAACTGCAACCTCCACCTCCCAGGTTCCAGCTATTCTCATGCTTCAGCCTCCCAAGTAGCTGGGATTACAGGCATGCACCACCACACCTAGGTAATTTTTGTATTTTTAGTAGAGACAGGGTTTTGCCATGTTGGCCAGGGTGGTCTCAAACTCCTGACCTCCGTGATTTGCCCACCTCAGCATCCCAAAGTGCTGGGATTACAGGCATGAGCCACCGCACCCGGCCTGAGTTGTATTTTGATACCATGGCATCAAAGAACCAAGAAGCCCCTTCCTAGGAATGTGGGAACTTCAGAAATTCTCACAAGCAATATACTCTACTGCTGGCTTAAAATAATCTTTATGTAGAAGAAACATAGATTACTTGTTTATTTAACATGAAACTCAGCCTAAGATACTTTGTAAGTCAAAAGACATATGGACACTAAGGGTTTTTTTAAGCTTTAAGTTTGTTTGTTTGTTTATTTATTATTTATTTTGGAGACAGTTTTACTCTTTTTTTTGGGGTGCATCTTTTTTCTTTTTTTTTTTTTTTTTTCCTTTTTTTTTTTTTTTTTTTTTATTGATCATTCTTGGGTGTTTCTCACAGAGGGGGATTTGGCAGGGTCATAGGACAATAGTGGAGGGAAGGTCAGCAGATAAACAAGTGAACAAAGGTCTCTGGTTTTCCTAGGCAGAGGACCCTGCGGCCTTCCGCAGCGTTTGTGTCCCTGGGTACTTGAGATTAGGGAGTGGTGATGACTCTTAACGAGCGTGCTGCCTTCAGGATCTGTTTAACAAAGCATATCTTGCACCGCCCTTAATCCGTTTAACTCTGAGTGGACACAGCACATGTTTCAGAGAGCACGGGGTTGGGGGTAAGGTCACAGATCAACAGGATCCCAAGGCAGAAGAATTTTTCTTAGTACAGAACAAAATGGGGGGCTGACCCCCCCACCTCCCTCCCGGACAGGGCGGCTGGCCGGTTAGAGGGGCTCCTCACTTCCCATTAGGGGCGGCCGGGCAGAGGCGCCCCTCACCTCCCGGACAGGGCGGCTGGCTGGGCGGGGGGCTGACCCCCCCACCTCCCCGCCCGGCCAGAGTTTTACTCTTGTTGTCCAGCCTGGAGCGCAATGGCGCTATCTCGGCTTACTGCAACCTCCGCCTCCCGGGTTCAAGAGGTTCTCCTCCCTCAGCCTCCCAAGTAGCTGGGACTACAGGCATGTGCCACCACACCTGGCTAATCTTGTATTTTTAATAGAGACAGGGTTTCTCCATATTGGTCAGGCTGGTCTCGAACTCCTGACTTCAGGTGACCCGCCTGCCTCAGCCTCCCAAAGTGCTAAGATTACAGGCGTGAGCCACCATGCCTGGCCTGCATCTCCTCTGTTTAACTGGTACTCCGGGGTCCACTGAGTAGAAGTTGCCAAAGTGGGTGATAGAGCGGGTAAGCAGGTATTAGAGCTATAGCCCAGCTGTACTCAGCAATTCCATTTTCTGTGTATGATAATCAACAAGCATCTCAAACTGCACAATGGCTATATACCATTACAAGGTTAACCTGATGTTATGTTTTTCTCTATCAGATCAACATGGTTGAGAATAAGAGGAATGAAAAAAAGGATTAAAAAGAGAAATGAAAGTCTTTAATATTACATTTTATTATTTACTTCATTTATTTTTTAGACAAAAATCTCACTCTATTGCTCAGGCTGGAGTGCAGGGGCCCGATCTCAGCTCACTGTAACCTCCGCCTCCCAGGTTCAAGTGATTCTCCTGTGTCAGCTTCCTGAGTAGCTGGGATTATAGGGATGCACCATCACACCCAACTAACTTTTATATTTTTAGTAGAGATGGACTTTCACCATCTTGCCTAGGCTGGTCTCAAACTCCTGACCTCAAGTGATCTGCCCACCTCACTCTCCCAAAGTGCTGGCATTACAGGCATGACCCACCACATCTGGCCTCATTTTATATTTAAAAATAAAAAATAAGCAAATCAAGCCAGGTACAGTTTAGGCAACATGGTAAAACCCCAACTCTACTAAAAATACAAAAATTAGCTGAGCATGGTGGCAGGTGCCTGTAGTCCCAGCTACTCGGGAGGCAGAGGATAGGATGGCTTGAACCCAAGAGGCACAGGTTGCAGTGAGCTGAGATGGTACCACTGCACTCCAGCTTGGGCAACAGAGAGACTGTCTTTTTTTTTTTTTTTTTTTTTTTTTTTTTTTTTTTTTTTGAGATCGCCCAGGCTGGAGTACAGTGGCACGATCTCGGCTCACTGCAAGCTCCGCCTCCCGGGTTCACACCATTCTCCTGCCTCAGCCTCCTGAGTAGCTGGGACTACAGGCGTCCGCCACCACGCCCGGCTAATTTTTTGTATTTTTTTAGTAGAGACAGGGTTTCACCGTGTTAGCCAGGATGGTCTTGATCTGCTGACCTCGTGATCCACCCGCCTCAGCCTCCTAAAGTGCTGGGAATTACAGGCGTGAGCCATCACGCCCCACCTGAGACTGTCTTTTAAAAAAAAAAAAAAAAAATCAATGTGGAACACTCCTTTGCCACCTAGAATAATCAGGAAAGGTGACCCATGCCCTGTGCCTCCTTAACAGACTTTCAGGTACTTGGGAATTTGAAACAAATCTCCTTGATGCACAAAGTAACCTTTTCTTCCCCCATTGTACCCCAGGTTGAAAATCGATGACTTTAATGATGAACTCAATAAGCTGCTGGAAGAAATAGAAGAAAAAAACCCACAACTGATTATTGATACTGAGAAACATCATCCCTGGGCAGAAAGGCCTTCTTCTCATGACTTCATGATCTGAATCCCCCCGAGTCATTCATTCTCCATGAAGTCATCGATTTTCCAGGTGTTGGTGAACTGCCTGTGACTCCTCTCCTCCCCGGCCCCTACCCCTCAGGGATAATGAGTTCATTGCTGGGCTAGATGTTTTAGCCATGATTCTGCCTCTGTTTTATACCTGCACACATCCTTATCTTTGTTACATATGAAATATCTGTATCACGGGTATATTGAGAGAAATAAAGGTGAGAGCATTCACAAATGAAGCTGTTACTTAATAATGGGCTTTGACAAGTTAGAGAAAAGATATCTTACTGGGTAGAACCTGGGGGGTGGGGGAAGTGACAGTGTTTAATTGCATTGATTTCTATTGCCTTGTCAATCTTTGCCTTGCCTTGGTATTTCCTTTCTTTTTTCTTTTCTTTTTTTTTTTTTTTTTTTTTAGACTGAGTTTCACTCTGTTGCCCACGCTGGAGTACACTGGCACGATCTCAGCTTACTACAACCTGGCAGGTTCAAGCGATTCTCCTGTCTCAGCCTCCTGAGTAGCTGGGATTACAAGCATCCCCCACCACACCCGGCTAAATTTTTTTGTATTTTTAATAGAGATGAGGTTTCACCATGTTGGCCAGTCTGGTCTCAAACTCCTGACCTCAAGTGATCCACCCACCTCAGCCTCCCAGAGTGCTGGGATTACAGGCATGAGCCACTGTACCCGGCTTTTTTTTTTTTCTTTTTCTTTTTCCTCAAGCATGAGTGTTGCTCTGTTGCCCAGGCTGGAATACAGCAGCATGATGATAGCTCACTGCAGCCTCAAGCTCCCAGGTTCAAGCGATCCTCCAGCCTCAGCCTCCTCAGTAGCTGGGACTACAGGTGCACACCACCAAACCAGGCCAATTTTTGTGGGATTTTTTTTGAAGACAGGGTCTCACTATGTTGCCCAGGCTGATCTCAAACTCCCAGGCGCAAGTAATATTCCTGCCTCAGCCTCCCAAAGTGCTAGGATTACAGGTGTGAACCACTGTGCCTAGCCTGTCTTGTTACTTGTTGACCTGCGTGGATCACTGCCTGCTGAGTATTACTTGCCAGAGGATTTCTCCTACCAATCTACAATATTTTAGGTGCTTCGGTGTAGCTCATATATGACCATGTCATTGCTCTGATTTTGCTTTTTAAAAATTCTAACTTAAAATAGAATCTCGGCCAGGCACGGTGGCTCACACCTGTAATCCCAGCACTTCGGGAGGCTGAGGTGGGTGGATCACGAAGTCAGGAGTTGGAGACCAACCTGGCCAACGTGGTGAAACCCCGTCTCTACTAAAAATATAAAAAATTAGCCAGGCATGGTGGCACATGCCTGTAATCCCAGCTACTTGGGAGGCTGAGGCAGGAGAATTGCTTAAACCCAGGAGGTGGATGTTGCACTGTGCTGAAGACTGCACTACTGCATTCCAGCTTGGGCAACAGAGTGACTCCTTCTCCAAAAAAAAACAAAATCTCATGGTATGCATAGTTTTTCACTATAGAGTCTCCATTATTTCCTTGTGATACAGAATTCCAAATTCAACAAAGCAGCAGTGCAAGCTCTACGCTGTAAAACCACAAACAAAACGAACTGTACTATAAAGACAACACTAGTTGGCAAAGTTGCTTCTCATGGGGAGACTTTGTTGCTGTCTGTGTTTACTGGATGAGCAAACAAATGGACGGTAAGGGGGAAAAAGAACAGTACAAATTTTTATTAAACACTAATCATGTTTTTTTTTGTTTGTTTTGAGACAGTTTCTTCTTGTTGCCCAGGCTGGAGTGCAATGGCACGATTTTGGCTCACTGCAACCTCCGCCTCCCCGGGTTCAAGCGATTCTCTTGCCTCGACCTACTGAGTAGCTGGGATTATAGGCATGTGCCACCAAGCCTGGCTAATTTTGAATTTTTAGCAGAGACGGGGTTTTTCCATGTTGGTCAGGCTGGTCTCGAACTCCCGACCTCAGGTGATCCACCAGCCTTGGTCTCCCAAAGTGCTGGGATTACAGGTATAAGTCACCGCACCTGGCAACATTTTTTTCTTTTTTTTTTTTTTTTTTTTTTTTTTTTTTGGTGGCAGAATCTTGCTCTTTCACCCAGGCTGGAATGCAATGGCACGATCTCGGGTCACTGCAGCCTCCACCTCCCCAGTTTAAGCAGTTCTCCCATCTCAGCCTCCCATGTAGCTGGGACCACAGGTGTGCACCACTGCACCCAGGTAATTTTTGCATTTTTGGTAGAGATAGGGTTTTGCCACGTTGTCCAGACTGGTCTTGAACTCCTGAGCTCAGGTGATCTGCCCACCTTGGCCTCCCCAAATGCTGGGATTATAGGCATGAGCCACCACACCTGGTCAAAAGTAGTTTTAATATTTAAATTTAAAACTAAAAAAGTTAATCTCTCTTCCTACTTTCATTTCTTCATCAGGGGCTATTGGTTTATTCCCACCGACTAGATCCAAGTTCTCTGATACTACCTTTAAACCACTCCATCACTTTCCAGTTCCACTGCATACAGTGTGGGCTTCTGAGGTTTCCTGGTTCAAGGTGTCCTTGTTCAATGCGGCATGGGTCATTCCCTGAGCATTTTTTTTTTTTTTTGACAGTCTCGCTCCATTGCCCGGTTTGGAGTGCAGTGGTGTGACCTCGGCTTACTGCAGCCTCTGCCTCCCAAGTTCAAGCAATTCTGCCTCAGGCTCCCGGATAATTTTTGCATTTTTAGTAGAGACAGGGTTTCACCGCGCTGGCCAGGCTGGTCTCGAACCCCTAACCTCAAGCGATCTGCCTGCCTCGGTCTCCCAAAGTGCTGGGATTACAGACATAAGCTACCGTGCCCGGCCTCCAGAGCATCTTTATTCTCAGTTTCAGCGGGAAGAAGGGGGAAGGTTGGTAAAAAGAGAGGCACAAAGTTTAAAAAGGACATTGCGTGAAGAAACTAAAGGTTTCTCCTTCTCCACACTATTGACATTTGGGATCGGATCACTACTCGTTGGGAAACGTCCTGTACATTTCCAGGGTGTTCGGCACCATCCCTAGCCTCTACCCCCTAGATACCAGCTCACATCCTCACAGTTAACAGTGATCAAAAATGTCTCTGGGCAGTAGAAAATATTTCCTGAAATGCAAAGTTTTCTTAGGTTGAGAACCATTGTAATCTAGCCCCATCTTTAGAGAAGAAATTGAGTAACGGATCTACATCCATTGAGGAACTATCGACACCCCAGGGGCCCATGAAATGTAAACTCGCACTCACAATTAACCATCTTTCTCCAACGTGTGTATTTCATGTAGCCACACTCTCAGATGCCCACCCCCATGACCTACAAGTCCTAAACAGGGAAACCTGTGGCACATGGGTTCATGTGTGTCTGAATCTATACGTTCAGAGATGAACAAGTACTGCTCTCCCTATACCTGTGACCACTCGCCTCCGCCCATCACTGAATTCTGAAAATGTGGCCTCAGGCTCACAGCAGCATTAGCACTTGCTTGCTCTGGATCTCATCACATTGATGATCAAGAACAAAGTATTCACTGGGTTCTCTGCTAAGGATACAAAAAAAACCATTCCACAATTCCACGGCCATGTTTGCACCCAGGAACCACGAGGGCTGGGTTAGCCCAGATGGTGGGCTTGGGAAATGTTCCTGGAGCAAAAAAAAGAGCCAGAAGTCATGAGAGCCTGACCCCCTCCCCCAACGCGCACACACACACACCACTCTCTACCTCCAAGCCTCATTTTCAGGCTTCTCAAAGCTAAGGTCACTCCCATGAGCTAAGCCGCGCTTTTCTCAATCCTCAGCTCTTCCACAAGAATAGGAAGAACTCTCTCCTGTTCAAGATCCTGTGGCTCAGCTGCAGCTCTGGAAGAAAGACCCCGGTGAGGGTCTTGCTTTTCACAATCCCCAATCCCAGACCACATCCTGTGCCCCAAAACAACTTCCATGGTAACCACATCCTTCAGGAAGTGAAGTCAGGCAGGAAGTCAAGTCAGAAGACGGAATGGGCTGGGCATGGTGGATCGCACCTGTAATCCCAGCACTTTGGGAGGCAGAGGCAGGTGGATCACATGAGGTCAGGAGTTTGAGACCAGCCTGGCCAACATGGTGAAACCCTGTCTCTACTAAAAATACCAAAAGTAGCCAGGCTTGGTGGTGCATGCCTGTAATCCCAGCTACTCTGGAGGCTGAGGCAGGAGAATCGCTTAAACCCGGAAGGCGGAGGTTGCAATGAGCCGAGATCGCACCATTGCACTCCAGCCCGGGGGACAGAAAAAAAAATGTAGCTGAGCATGGTAGTGCACGTCTGTGATCTCAGCTACTTGGGAGTCTGAGGCAGGAGAATCACTTGAACCCAGGCGGTGGAGGTTGCAGTGAGCCAAGATTGTAATAGTCCAATGTGTTCACCTTGCCCACTGCCTAGACAGAGCTGATTCGTCAAGACAGGGAATCGCAATAGAGAATAATTCATGCAGAGCTGGCTCTACGAGAGACCAGAGTTTTATTATTATTCAAATCAGTGTCTCCCAGCATTCAGGAAGCGTTTTTAAGGATAACTTGGTGGGTGGGTGGGAAGCCAGTGAGCCAGGAGTGCTGTTTGGTCAGGGATGAAATCGTGGGAGCCAAAGCTATCTTCTTGCACTCAGTTCCTGAGTGGAGGCCAAAAGATAAGATGGGCCAGTTTATTGATATGGGTGGTGCCAGCTGATCCATCAAGTACAGGGTCTGCAAGTTAAACGCTGATCTTAGAAGCAGTTTAGGGAGGGTCACAATCTTGTAGCCTCCAGCTGCATGACTCCTAAGTCATAATTTCTAATCTCGTGGCTAATGTTCGTCCTACAGGGCCAATCTAGTCCCCAGGCAACAAAGAGGTGTGCTTTGGAAAAGGGCTATCATCTTTGTTTAAACTATAAGTTTCTCCCAAAGTTCAGCCTATGCCCAGGAATGAAAAAGGACAGCTTGGAGGTTAGAAGCAAAATGGAGTCAGTTAAATCTCTTTCACTGTCTCAGTCATAATTTTGGAAAGGTGGTTTCAAGCTGGCACAACTGCACTCCACCCTAGGAGACAGAGCGAGACCCTGTCAAAAAAAAAAAAAAAAAACAAGAAGTGAAGTCAAGATAGGAGGTAAATTCGGAAGACAGGAAGTGGTGGTAGAAGACAAGAAGTGAAGTCATACAGGAAGTAAAGTCAGAAGACAGGAAGTGAAGTAAGAAGACAGGAAGTGGTTGTAGAAGACAGGAAGTGAGGTCATACAGGAAGTAAAATCAGAAGACAGGAAGTGACGTCAAACCAGGATTTGCAGTCGGAGGCAGGCAAGAAGTGAAATCAGAAGACGGGAAGTGGCTGAGGGGAACGTCTTTTCTCTCTCCTGCTCAGCCCGAAGTGAACAGGTAGCATCAGGTGTGCCATTTCAGTGACTGGGCACAGCCCAGGCACCCACATCTCTCTGCAGCGCCTATTCTTGGAACACCAGAGACCTCTACACTATTTTCTGTTGCTTTTTTCCTTCATTTTCAGAGATGAGATCCTGGATTGAATGACTACTATGGAAAGTGATTGACCAAGGTAAGTCACAACTATCTTGTTCTTTAATTTTGGTGTTGTTTGTTATGACTTGTTAGCCGTCTAGCACTCATAGCTTTGCATTTCCACTCTGCATTACTTGTATTTTTATTATTTTGTGATATTCGTAATAATTTATTATAAAACTGTGTTATTTTTGGATATTTTTAAGTTAAAATGCGATTTTTTAACTAAGTGGCAGTATGCAAAGCAAGTGGTTCAGAACTCTCCCCCATTAATAAGTCTTCTCTCCTGAAAGAAACAATTTTGAGACTTCCTGTTCTTAATTCTGTTTAACAGCATACTTCTAAAAGAAAAAGTGTATACTGTTATTATTTATTGTGTTACAAAAATATACACGCACCTTTCATGCACGTCCGTGTGAAGAGACCACCAAACAGGCTTTGTGTGAGCAATAAAGCTTTTAATCACCTGGGTGCAGGTGGGCTGAGTCTGACAAGAGAGTCAGCGAAGGGGGATAGGGGTGGGGCCGTTTTATAGGATGTGGGTAGGTAAAGGAAAATTACAGTCAAAGGGGGGTTGTTCTCTGGCGGGCAGAGTCGGGGTCATAAGGTGCTCAGTAGGGGAGCTTTTGAGCCAGGATGAGCCAGGAGAAGGAATTTCACAAGACAATGTCATCAGTTAAGGCAGGAACAGGCCATTTTCGCTTCTTTTGTGGTGGAATGTCATCAGTTAAGGCACGAACCGGCCATCTGGATGTGTACGTGCAGGTCACAGGGGATATGATGGCTTAGCTTGGGCTCAGAGGCCTGACATTCCTGTCTTCTTATATTAATAAGAAAAATAAAATGAAATAGGGGTAAAGTGTTGGGACAGCAAAAATTTTTGGGGGTGGTATGGAGAGATAATGGGTGATGTTTCTCAAGGCTGCTTTGAGCAGGATTAGGGGCGGCGTGGGAACCTAAAGTGGGAGCGATTAAGCTGAAGGAAGATTTTGTGGTAAGGGGTGACATTGTGGGATTGTTAAAAGAAACATTTGTCATTTAGAATTATTGGTGATGGCCTGGATACAGTTTTGTATGAATTGAAAAACTAAAGGGAATAAGGAAAGGAGAAAAACAGGTATTAAAGGTCTAAGAATTGGGACGACTCAGGACATCTAATTAGAAAGTGCCTAAGGAGGTTCAGCATAGCCTTGCCAGCAAAGATTATTTATTTATTTTAAGAGTTAACAGTGGCGGTATGGGGATAGTACCAGGAGATACCAGCTGTGCTGGCTTGGAGAAACAGTGTAAACTGGCAGTGTAAACAAGAGCAGGGCATGTGTGAGTAGTTGAGAACGGTGAATAGGAGTATGACTAGACAGAAGATAGTAGGGATGACAAGTTTTTTGGGGCACAATCTAAGTTGGTCTGGTGTCTGGAATGAGACTGGGGCCTAATAAAAAGGAGTGTCTACACAGGAGCTTAAATGGGCTGTATCTTGTAGCATTCCAAGGACAGGCCTGAATTCTGGAAGCGAAAATGGTAAAAGTATTGTCCAGTCCTTTTTAAGTTGGTGGCTGAGCTTGGTGAGGTGTGTTTTTAATAGACCATTAGTCTGTCACTGAATACTAAGAGCCTGAAAAAATGCTTGGCTGATTTGACTAATAAAGGCTGGTCTGTTAGCAGACTGTATAGAGGTGGGAAGGCTGAACTGAGGAATTTTGTCTGACAGAAGGGAATGACAAGGCTAAACTGAAGAATTATGTCTGACAGAAGGGAAGAAATGACTGCGGTGGCCTTCTCAGACCCTGTAGGAAAGGACTGTACTTACCCAGTGAAAGTGTCTACCTAGACTAAGAGGTATTTTAGTTATCTTACTCGGGGCATGTTGAGTAAAGCTAATTTGCCAGTCCTGGGCGGGGGCAAATCCTTGAGCTTGATGTGTAGGGAAGGGAGGGGGCCTGAATAATCCATGAGGAGTAGTAGAATAGCTGATGCAACACTGAGAAGTGATTTCTTTGAGGATAGATTTCCACAATGGAAAGGAAATGAGAGGTTCTAAGAGGCTGGCTAGTGGCTTGTACCATAGCATAGCCTGCCTTTGCTGGTGTGTGGCGATTAGGCCTGGTGGAACCGCCATCAATAAACTAAGTGTGATCAGGGTGAGAAACAGGGAAGAAGGAAATGTGGGGAAATGGGGTGAACGTCAGGTGGATCAGAGAGATGCAGTCATGGGGGTCAGGTGTGGTATCTGGAATAATGTGGGAGGCCAGATTGAAGTCCGGGCCAGGAACAATGGTAATTGTGGGACTTAACAAAGAGTGAGTACAGCTGAAGGAGCCAGGGAGCAGAAAGTATATGCATCAGGTGTGAGTAAGAAAATAGATTTTGGAAATTATGAGAGCTGTAGAGAGTGAGTTGAGCATAGTTTGTGATTTTGAGGGCCTCTAAAAGTATTAAAGCAGCGGCAGCCACAGCACGCAGATATGAGGGCTAGGCTAAAACAGTAAGGTCAAGTTGTTTGGACAGAAAGGCTACAGGGTGTGGTCCTGGCTCTTGTGTAAGAGTTCTGACCGCGCTAACCATGCCTAGGAAGGAAAGGAGTTGTTGTTTTGTAGAAGGTGCTGGGGCTTGAGAGATCAGTCAGACACGATCAGCAGGGAGAGCACGTGTGTTTTTATGAGAATTATGCCGAGATAGGTAACAGATGAGGATGAACTTTGGGCTTGACTGAAGTAATGGGGGCTGTCTGTGAAACCTTGCAGCAGTACAGCCCAGGTAATTTGCTGAGCCTAATGGGTGTCAGGGTCAGTCCAAGTGAAAGCGAAGAGAGGCTGGGACGAGGGGTGCAGGGGAATAGTGAAAAAAGCATCTTTAAGATCAAGCATGGAATAGTGAGTTGTGGAGGAAGGTATTGAGGACAAAAGAGTGTAGGGGTTGGGCACCACAGGGTGCATAGGCAAAACAATTTGATAAGGCGCAGATCCTGAACTAATCTGTAAGACTTTTCCGGTTTTTGGACAGGTAAAATGGGGGAATTGTAAGGAGAGTTTATAGGTTTTAGAAGCCCATGCTATAGCAGGCGAGTGATAACAGGCTTTAATCCTTTTAAAGTGTGCTGTGGGATGGGATATTGGCATTGAGCAGGGTAAGGGTGATTAGGTTTTAATGGGATGGTAACGGGTATGTGATCAGTTGCCAGGGAAGGAGTAGAGATGTCCCATACTTGTGGGTTAAGGTGGGGGAATAGGAGAGGAAGACGCGAAGGAGGCTTTGGGTTGAGGAGAAGGGTGGCAATGAGATGCGGCTGTAGTCCAGGAATAGTCAGGGAAGCAGATAATTTGGTTAAAATATCTCGGCCTAATAAGGGAACTGGGCAGGTGGGGATAACTAAAAAAGAGTGCATAAAAGAGTGTTGTCCAAGTTGGCACCAGAGTGGGGGAGTTTTCAGGGGTTTAGAAGCCTGGCCGTCAATACCCACAACAGTTATGGAGGCAAGAGAAACAGGCCCTTGAAAAGAAGGTAATGTGGAGTGGGTAGCCTCCGTATTGACTAAGGCGACGGACTTACCTTCCACCGTGAGTGTTACCCGAAGCTCGGCATCCGTGATGGTCTACAGAGCTTCCGAGGCGATTGGGCAGCATCAGTCTTCAGCCGCTAAGCCGAGAAGGAGTCAGAGAGCCTTGGGCCAGAGTTCCAGGGGCTCTGGGAGTGGCTGCCAGGTGAGTTGAACAGTCCGATTTCCAGTGGGGTCCCGCACAGATGGGACACGGCTTAGGAGGAATCCTGGGCTGCAGGCATTCCTTGGCCTGGTGGTCAGATTTCTGGCACTTGTAGCAAGCTCCTGGGGGAGGAGGTTCTGGAGGAACGCCTGGCCGCTGCGGTTCAGTTCCCTTCTTGTGTGCTGGAGATGTGGCTGGGGTTTGTCTCACAGTGGAGGCAAGGAATTGCAACTTTTTTCTATTATTGTACACCTTGAAGGCGAGGTTAATTAAATCCTGTTGTGGGGTTTGAGGGCCGGAATTTAATTTTTGGAGTTTTATTTAATGTCGGGAGCAGATTGGGTAATAAAATGTGTATTAAGAATAAGACGGCCTTTTGACTTTTAAGGGTCTAGGGCTGTAAAGCTTCTCAGGGTTGCTGGCGAACGAGCCATGAATTGGGCTGGATTTTTATATTTGATGAAAAAGAGCCTAAACACTATCTGATTTGGGATAAAGAAAAAGGAGCATTAACCTTGACTATGCCTTTAGCTCCAGCCACCTTTCTAAGAGTAAATTGCTGGGCAGGTGGAAGAGGGCTAGTCACTGAACGAAACTGTAAGCTGGACCAGGTGTGGGGAGGGGAGGTGATAAAAAGATAATACGGTGGAGGAGCGGAGGCTGAGGAAGAATTGGGACCTAGCTCAGCCTGGGGAGGAGGGAGAGGTCAGACGGGTCTGTAGAAAAGGAAGATTAGAAAGACTCAGCGACGCTTGGGGTTGAGACTGAGGGGACAGGCAGGAGGGAAAGAAGGAAGATTTGGGACGAGTTGCACTGGGCACAGAGACTAGGAAGGGACTGATGTGTAAAAGAATGCCTGGACGTCAGGCACCTCAGACCGTTTGCCCATTTTACGACAAGAATTATTTAGATCTTGCAGGATGGAAAAATTGAAAGTGCTGTTTTCTGGCTATTTGGAACTGCTGTCCAGTTTGTATTGGGGTCAAGCGGCATTGCAGAAGAAAATAAGGCATTTAGGTTTTAGGTCAGGTGTGAGTTGAAGAGGTTTTAAGTTTTTGAGAACACAGGCCAAGGGAGAGAAGGAGGAGGAATGGAGGGTGGAAGGTTGCCCATAGTGAAGGAGGCAAGCCTAGAGAAAAGAGAGAGTAGAGACACGGAGGGAAGGGGTTCGGGAGTTCTTACCTTCCAGAAAAGCGGGAAAGGGGTTGGGGCATGGATATAAGGGGTTGGGGCACAGAGATAAGAGGTTGGGGCATGGAAATAAGGGATCAGGGTGCAGAGATACGAGGTTGGGGTACTTGCCCCTCTAGAAAAGCGGGACTTGCCGCTAAGAGTGAAGGAGAAGGGGTTGGGGGTTTCTTGCCCCCCAGAAAGGTGGAGAAGGGGTAGAGACATGGAGAGGAGGGGTTGGGGAACTTGCCCCTTCCCCAGAAAAGTGGGACTTGCCACTAAGGGTGAAGGACCAAGGCAGGCATCCCTGCGTGATCTGACACCTCTGAAGCGTGGGTATATAATCAGAGAGGCGTCCCTGCAATGATTAAACGCCAAGGGAAGGCTGCCTTCCCTAGTCCGTGACCGGCGCCGGAGTTTTGGGTCCACAGATAAAACGTGTCTCCTTTGTCTCTACCAGAAAATGAAAGGAATTGAAATTAAGAGAAGGGAGAGATTGAAGAGTGGAAAGGAGAAAGTGGTTGAGGGACAGTGAGAGAGGTTGGAGAAGAGAGTAAGAAGAGGTCGCTTACCCAATTTAAACTTGGTGAGATGTTCCTTGGGCTGGTGGGTCTGAGGACCTGAGGTCGTAGGTGGATCTTTTTCACAGAGCAAAGAGCAAGACAGGGGATTGATCTCCCAAGGGAGGTCCCCCGATCCAAGTCACGGCACCAAATTTCATGTGCGTCCATGTGAAGAGACCACCAAACAGGCTTTGTGTGAGCAATAAAGCTTTTAATCACCTGGGTGCAGGTGGGCTGAGTCCGACAAGAGAGTCAGCGAAGGGGGATGGGGTGGGGCCGTTTTATAGGATTTGGGTAGGTAAAGGAAAATTACAGTCAAAGCGGGGTTGTTCTCTGGCGGGCAGAGTGGGGGTCACAAGGTGCTCTGTAGGGGAGCTTTTGAGCCAGGATGAGCCAGGAGAAGGAATTTCACAAGACAATGTCATCAGTTAAGGCAGTAACAGGCCATTTTCACTTCTTTTGTGGTGGAATGTCATCAGTTAAGGCAGGAACCAGCCATATGGATGTGTACGTGCAGGTCACAGGGGATATGATGGCTTAGCTTGGGCTCAGAGGCCTGACAGCACCTACCTAAAAAATTCCAATAGCACTAAAAGGGTGTGTACAAAATGCAGTGGCTGACTAACCATCTCCTCCATTGCTCCGCCTAAGAGACACCCACTTTTAGCTGTTTTCTTTAGGAACTTGTTAATATTAGGTTTCTAAAAACATGTAACCATGTGAATGAGCTTAGACTTACTGGATTCCTATCATAATAGGCGGGGCCTTAGTTATTCTACAGCGTTGTTCTTACTGTTTTTTCTCTTCCAATGTTTATCTCTATGTCTGCATATCAACATTCAGTATCACATTTTTTTTTTTTGAGACAGAGTCTCACTCTGTCACCCAGGCTGGAGTGCAGTGGCGCAATCTCAGCTCACTGCAGCCTCAGTCTCCTGAGTAGCTGGGACTACAGGCGTGTGCCACCACGACTGGCTAATTTTTGTATTTTTAGTAGAGACAGGGTTTCACCATGTTGGCTGAGCTGGTCTCGATCTCCTGACCTCGTGATCTGCCCACCTCAGCCTCCCGAAGTGCTGGGATTACAGGCATGAGCCACCACGCCCGGCCAGTATCACATGTTTATACCCACAGATATTCGCAGCCGAGAATTTTCGGGTAATATAACTTGCTTCTTTTATTTTTGTTGTTGTTATTGTTCCCCTAAAGTTTATATTTGTTTTTTATTTTTATTTTCTTTTGAGGCAGGGTCTCACTCTGTCACCCAGGTTTGACAGCAGTGGTGCAATCATGGCTCACTGCAGCCTCAACCTCCCCGGGCTCAGGTGATCCCCAACCTCAGCCTCCTGAGTACCTGAGAGTAGGCATGTGGTACCACACCCAGCTAATTTTTTATATTTTTTGTATATGAGACAAGGTTTCACCATGTTGCCCAGGCTGGTCTCGAACTCTTAGGCTCAAGCGATCCCGCCTCAGCCTCCCAAAGTGCTGGGATTACAGGTGTGAGCCACTGTGCCTAGGCTATACTGGTCTTTTTAAAATCTACTTAGTTTACTTGACCTCTAAAATTATTTTTCCTCTGTCTTCTGATAGCATCTCAGTATGATTTTCCACTATGTTAAGACGAGGAATTGACCCATTCTTACATTTGGAGGCTTCTCTAAGCAACTTTCCCATTCCCCCTTCACCCAAGCTGTGTGCTCACTAGCCCTGATTCACAGCCGTCGTCCTGGAACTTCTTGGTGCCATCCTTCTGTCTTTTCCCAAGTGACTCACCTACCTCAACCTCCCAAAGTGCCGGGATTACAGGCGTGAGCCACTGTGGCCAGCCATTCTTTTCCTTTTTTAAAACAATTTTTATCTTCTTTATTTTAAGTAGAGATGGGGTCTCACTATGTTGCCCAGGCTGGTCTTGAACTCCTGGGCTCAAGCGATCCTCCTGCCTTGGCCTCCCACAGTGCTAGGATTACAGACATGATCCACTGCACTTGGCCCAGTGGTACAGTTTTACACTCATTAGATGGTCAAGAAATGCCTAAACGCTATAATAAATATAGAACTTTACCTTGAGAAGACCTAACATTTCCTTCAGAAAGTAAATATGAGAGGGGTGGAGACGGTGCATTATCTTATTTTTATGATTTTAAAAATGTATACAGAATTGTACATATTTATGGGGTGGACAGCAATATTGCAGTACATGTATACAACGTGCTATGATCAAATCAGGGTAATTGACATATTCATCCCTGTATTTTTTGAGACAAAGTCAGGCTTCGTCACCCGAGCTAGAGTGCAGTGGTGTGATCTCAGCTCACTGCAACCTCTGCCTCCCAGGCTCAAGCCATTCTCCCACCTCAGCCCCCTGAGTTGCTGGGAGTATAGGGATGCACCACCACACCTGGCTAATTTTTGTGTTTTTTTGTTTTGTTGGTAGAGATGAGGTTTCACCATGTTGCACAGGCTGATCTTGTTTTCTAATGTGAAGGGAAGCGGGCAACGTGCTAGTTTTACACTAAGGAAAATGAATGACATACCCAAACTGCCTGCAAGACCCGTTCTGAGAGACGAAAGGAGATTTGTTAGACCGCAGTGGGAGATGGAGTGAGGGTGAGAGTTTCTGGGGAAAACCAGACAAGAGCACAGAGGGCCAAAGGGAAGCACGGGAGGATTTTGCACAGAGGATGGAACAGAGTCAACCCTGAGAGCTGGGAACCTTAGAGATCCGTCTGGAGCCCATATTAGAGAGGTTGAAGAAAGAGGCCAGTATGTGGTCCAGCCAGGGTACCATGTCATCCACAGTGTGCAGGGAGGAGGATGGGGTCTCCACAGATTCCTTCCATCCCAAATGGAGGGTGCCCTCAGACAGAGAGGCAGACAGACAGACAGACACTGGCCGAACGGCTCCCTGATGGAACACCAGGAGGAGGCAGCATGGCCTCGTTTCCACAGCTGTAGCCTCTGCCCTCCTGCTTCCACGCTCCACACACGCCAGTCTTTGAGTCGCCTCCCATGCCATGATCCCTCCCTTGGATACGACCGTGCCTGGGGTTCAGCGGTCATGAACATAACCCGCGGCTGTGAACATCCTGTCGGCCTCCATCCTGACCCCCGTTTGATTTCCGGGTCAGCGGGAGGGGCGGGAGGGGCGGAAGCGGCCTCTGCACAGCCCTGCCCCTGTGCCGCAGGCGCTTCCTCCGGCTGTGCCAGTCCTCTGCCAGAAACCCCGCCAGGATTATTAGGATCACAGCCCCGAGGCATATCCGGACCAGGTTGCCCTTGGTGTAGTACTGGCGGGCAGGACCTGGAGGAATGAGGAGAGGCAGGAGCAGGTGAAAGAGCCCACCTCCAGGACCCCCTCCAAGCCACATCTGGGCTTCTCAGAGATCCTATTATTCTCTACTAGCTAGGGGATGCCGCTCACTTTCCTGGAGGGTCCCTCCCTTCCCGAGTAGGGGTCAGGGCCAGATGACCCCAATTCTCTAAGTAGCACCTCTCCCTCCTGTGCTCTCACAGGGCTCTGAGACAACTCCTCCCCAGACACAGATGCTGCCTCGTTATCTGATGCATTGCAAAAGAGAGGACAGTTATAAGGGGTGGGGAAGAGATGGAATCTCTCTTTCTCTGACCCTTTTTAAAATCTCAACCTTCCCACCTGATCTTAATGCCCAATTCTGAACCCCATACGCTGATATTCTGCCTTTACTCTACACACTGGAACCCAAGATCTGAGAGCTGCAGCCCCTGCGTAGACAAAGGAGTTGGCTTTGGTGAAGAGACGGGTGAGAAGGAAGGGGGTCTGGAGAGGATGACTTACTCACCAGCTGGAGAGTCTGACTCCTTTGGACTGGCGGTGATACTCCTAGAAGTCTCTGGGAACCAAACAAAGGCTAAGTGTGAAATGAAACCATATTCCCGCCCCCTGTCACTGTGCCTACTCCGAACACACACACACATGGGGAGGCACAATTCCACAGCATTTAAGAAAAGCATGGGCCGGGCACGGTGCCTCATGCCTATAATCCCAGCACTTTGGGAGGCTGAGGTAGGAGGCTGGCTTGAGTCCAGGAGTTCAAGACCAACCTGAGCAACATAGAAAAACCCTATCTCTACAAAAAAATACAAAAATTAGCCAGGCGTGGTGGCACGTGCCAGTAATCCCAGCTACTCAGTGGAGGCTGAGGCAGGAAGATCACCTGAGCCCTGGGAGGTTGAGGCTGCAGTGAGCCAGGATTGTACCACTGCACTCTAGCCTGGGAAACAGAGCGAGACCCTGTCCAAAAAAAAAAAAGCAAGAACTGTAGAGTCAGGCTGTCCTCCAGATTTGAACCCCAACTCTATCACCTATTAGATGTCAGTTATCTGGCAAGTGACTCAGCATCTGTGAGCCAGTTCCCCATGTGTCCAATAAAATTAACAAGATCCCTTATAGGTTGATGTGAAAGTCAAGATAATAATAATGGTAGAAATATAAAGCACCGTGCTTGACATATGAGCACCTCATACGTGCCAGCTTTTTTTTTTTTTTTTTTGAGACAGAGTCTGGCTCTGTCTCCCAGGCTGGAGTGCAGTGGCCCGATGTCGGCTCACTTCAACCTCCGCCTCCTGGGCTCAAGCGATTCTCCTGCCTCAGCCTCCCGAGTAGCTGGGACTACAGGCGTCCGCCACCACGCCCAGCTAAGTTTTGTATTTTTAGTAGAGATGGGATTTCACCATATTGGCCAGGTTGGTTTTGAACTCCTGACCTTGTGATCCGCCCGCCTAGGCCTCCCAAAGTGCTGGGATTACAGGCGTGAGCCACTGCACCCGGCCTCCAGCTCTCTTATTCCTCAAGTATCTCCTGAGACTCGCCAGGTACTCAGCCATGTGCTGGGCCATGGGAACCCAAATATTAATAAGACATTGTCAGGCCAGGCATGACACTGGCTGAATGCCTGTAATCCCAGCACTTTGGGAGGCCAAGGTGGGCGGATCACCTGAGGTCAAGAGATCGAGACCATCCTGGCCAACATGGTGAAACCCCGTCTTTACTAAAAATACAAAAAATAGCTGGGCATGGTGGCACACACCTGTAGTCCCAGCTACTCAGGAGCCGGAGATTGCAGTGAGCTGAGATCGCAGAGTGAGCCGAAATCACAGATCACAGAGTGAGCAGAGTGAGACTCCGTCTCAAAAACAACAACAAAAAACAAAAAAACCATAAGACATTGTCCATCTGCGGTTCCCAGACTATTGCAGGAGACCAAAAAGTAAAGCGATTTTTTTTTTTTTTTAATACGGAGTCTCACTCTGTTGCCCAGGCTGGAGTGCTGTGGTGTGATCTCAGGTCACTGCAACCTCCAACTCGTGAGTTCAAGCGATTCTCCTGCCTCAGCCTCCCAAGTAGCTGGAATTACAGGTGCCCACCACCACGCCCGGCTAATTTTTGTATTTTCAGTAGAGACGGGGTTTCAGCATGTTGGCCAGGCTGGTCTCCTGACCTCAGGTGATCCACTCACCTTGGCCTCCCAAAGTGCTGGGATTACAGACAAAGCGATAATTTTAATATACTGTAAAAATTGCTGTAATAGGCAGCCCACAAGACACTGAGCGAGAGCAGAGGAAACCATCGATCCAGCCTGGACGGTCAAGGCTTTCTTGAGGAATTGATGCCATGGGGAAATGGAAGAAAAGGCAGAGTGAGTGGGTTGGGTGCAGAGTCAGGAGAGGTTAGGAAGCCTCCAGGAGAGCTTCAAGTGACTGTGTGTGGCTGAGAACAGCATGGGAATGCGTGGAAGGTATGCAGACAAAATTGGAGGGATCAACAGGGGCTGGATATCTAAGCTCACAGAATAGCAAGCTGAGGAATTGGAACTGCATCCTGAGGGTGATTGGGAGGTTCCGAACTGAAGATAGGGAAGGCTTCCATCACAGAACTCCCTGGGATATGCCGGGCGCGGTGGCTCATGCCTCCAATCCCAGCACTTTGGGAGGCCGAGACAGGTGGATCATGAGGTCAGGAGTTCAAGACCAGCCTTCCCAAGATGCTGAAACCCCGTCTCTACTAAAATACAAAAATTAGCCAGGTGTGGTGGCATGCACCTATAATCCCAGCTACTCGGGAGGCTGAGGCAGGAGAATCGCTTGAACCCGGGCAGCAGAGGTTACAGTGAGCCGAGATCGCACCACTGCACTCCAGCCTGGGCGACAGAGCAAGACTCCACCTCAAAAAAATAAAAAATAGAACTACGTGGGATCAGGTGCCTCATGAAAGCCAGAGTCATGTGGGCCCAGTGGAAGTATCTAACCTATTATCAGGGAATCTGTGAAGGTGTTTAGTCTGGAAGGAAATGGAGATTTTCCAGGACAGGCAAGGGGAAAGAGACTGAGGAAAGCGTATCTGCAGAGGCCTGGAGCGGTTAGAAGATGTGCTGTGTCCAGGTGCCTACAGTCTGTGTGCGTCCGAGCATGGGCTCTACCTGGACACAGTGAGGAGCGAGATTAAATACCTGGATCACAGCCGAGTCCAAAGCCTAGGACTTCATCCTGGGAGCAGTGCGTAGGGATGGCGGTCGTCCCGCCACAGCCTTGGCTCCGCCATCTTTGAAATGGCCCCATCACCCAAAACGCTCCTCCTTCTGAACCCCAGAGCTCCACTCTGCACCCATGCTCTAGCCTCACACCAAGGACTTTCTTGGTAAGAGACGGACAGTTCGGTGAAGTGATTAAAAGCCTACAGGCTTAGATAATGGAAGAGAGAGCTCCGTCCTCACACTCCTTTCTGCTGAGCATGAAATGCCTGGTTACTCACCAGTTGTGAAGACTTCGTTTGTGAATGAGACGGTCAGTTCAGCGGTGGCTTCTGAGAATTCTAAGAAAGCAAAACAATGTTAGGTCTTCCCCGTGGTTCCCTATATCCTCTAGATATCTCCATTCCCCTTTTGAGATATCTAGGCTCCCTGAAACCCCTTTCTCTGACACACTGCACAGACACTGAAGACAGACAAATTCGAAAGGTGTAAGACTTATCTTCCATGACCGGCTTAGTAAGAAGCAGATCCGTTCAGCAATTGATAGACACTTGGTTTTTTTTCCACGTTTTGCTGTTATGAATATTGCTGCTGTGAACATTGACGTACAGGTTTTTGTGTGAACATAAGTTTTCTGTTCTCTTGGGTACACACCCAGGGGTGGTGGAATCACTGGGTCATACAGTAACTCTGTGTTTTACTTTTTGAAGAACTACCAGACTTCTTTCTTTTTTTTCTTTTTTTTTTTTTTTTGAGACAGAGTCTCATTCTGTTGCCCAGGCTGGAGTGCAGTGGCGCGATCTCAGCTCACTGCAACCTCCACCTCCTGGGTTCAAGCGATTCTCCTCCCTCAGCCTCCCGAGTAGCTGGGATTACAGGCACCTGCCATCACGCCTGGCCAACTTTTTTTTTTGTACTTTAGTAGAGGCGGGGTTTCACCATGTTGGCCAGGATGGTCTCGATCTCCTGACCTCGTGATCCACCCTCCTTGGCCTCTCAAAGTGCTGGGATTACAGGCTGCGCCTGGCCACAGACTGTTTTTCAAAGCAGCTGCACCATTTTATATTCCCACCAGCAATATAAGAAGGTTCTTCCAAATCCTCACCAATACTTCTTGTCCGTTTGTTTTGTTTTAAAAATCATAGTCATCCTAGTTGGCATGGTGAATTTTATGGTATGTGAATTATATCTCAGTTTGAATAATAAGATGTGGATCCATGTCTTCGTGAGCCTAGAGGAAGAATGAGCTCGTGTTAGCCTCAGAACACGGGATCTCCACCTTCCAACTTAGGCCATTTTCTTTTTTTCTTTTTTTTTTTTTTTTTGAGACAGAGTCTTACTCTGTCGTCCAGGCTGGAGTGCAGTGGTGCAATCTCGGCTCACTGCAAGCTCTGCCTCCCGGGTTCACACCATTATCCTGCCTCAGCCTCCCGAGTAGCTGGGACTACAGGCACCCGCCACCACGCCTGGCTAATTTTTTTGTATTTTCAGTAGAGATGGGGTTTCACCGTGTTAGCCAGGATGGTCTCGATCTCCTGACCTTGTGATCCACCCGCCTCAGCCTCCCAAAGTGCTGGGAATACAGGCGTGAGCCACCGCGCCCGGCCAGGCCATTTTCTTAACCAGGGGCCTCCTGAGGCCACCAAAATATTCCTGAACTGCCTCAGCTGATAAATACGAAGCTCTTGTTGCAGTGGGTACTATCCTGGGAGTCTTTTTATGGTGGAACCAGCTTGGAAAAAACTAGTTTATGCTCAGCTCTCGGTGGCATAATGAGAGTGTGGGTATTATTTGGTCTTTGTTATTTCTCTTCGTGTGAGATGCATTAATAAACCTTTTTTTTTTTTTTCAATTAAAATTTCAGTTCCAGAATCCATGTGCAGGACGTGCAGGTTTGTTACATAGGTAAACGTGTGCCATGGTGGTTTGCTGCACCCATCAACCCATCACCTAGGTATTAAGCCCCACACGCATCAGCTATTTATCCTGATCCTCTCCCTCCCCCAATTCCCCCTACAGGCCCCAGTGTGTGGTGTTCCCCTCCCTGTGTCCATGTGATCTCATTGTTCAGCTGCCACTTACAAGTGAGAACATGCAGTGTTTGGTTTTCAGTTCCTGTGTTAGTTTGCTGAGGATAATGTTTTCCAGCTCCATCCATGTCCCTGCAAAGGACATGATCTCATTCCTTTTTATGGCTGCATAGTATTCCATGGTGTATATGTACTGTATTTGCTTTATCCTTTCTATCATTGATGGGCATTTGGGTTGATTCCTTGTCTTTGCTATTGTGAATAGTGCTGCAATGAACATATGTGTGCATGTATCTTTATAATACAATGATTTATATTCCTTTGGGTATATAACCAGTAATGGGATTGCTGGGTCAAATGGTATTTCTGGCCAGGCGCAGTGGCTCACACATGTAATCCCAGCACTTTGGGAGGCCGAGGTGGGCAGATCACCTGAGGTCAGGAGCTCAAGACCACCCTGGCCAACATGGTGAAACTCCCGTCTCTAGCAAAAATCCAAAAATTAGCCAGGCGTTGTGGCATGCACCTGCAGTCCCAGCTACTCGGGAGGCTGAGGCAGGAGAATCACTTGAACCCTGGAGGCAGAGGCTGCAGTGAGCCGAGATCATGCCCCTGCAATCCAGCCTGGGTGACAGAGTGAGACTCTGTTTAAAAAAAAAAAAAAAAAAAAAAGGTGGCCCTGGTGCGGTGGCTCACGCCTGTAATCCCAGCACTTTGGGAGGCCGAGGCAGGTGGATCACCTGAGGTCAGAAGTTTGAGACCAGCATGACCAACAAGGTAAAACCCCATCTCTACTAAAAGAAAAAAAAAAAAAAAAGCCAGGCATGGTGGCAGGCGCCTGTAGTCCCAGTTACTTAGGAGGCTGAGACAGGATAATTGCTTGAACCTGGGAGGTGGAGGTTGCAGTGAGCCGAGATCGCACCACTGCACTCCAGCATGGGCTATTGAGCAATACTACATCTCAAAAAAAAAAAAAAGGAAAAAGGATTTCTGGTTCTGGGTCTTTGAGGAATCACCACACTGTCTTCCACAATGAACTAATTTACATTCCCAACAGTGTAAAAGCATTCCTATTTCTCCACAGCCTCGCCAGCACCTGTTGTTTCTTGACTTTTGTTGGTTTTTTTTTTTTTTTTTTGAGATGGAGTCTTGCTCTGTCGCCCAGGCTGGAGTGCAGTGGCACAATCTTGGCTCACTGCAACCTCCGCCTCCCGGGTTCACGCCATTCTCCTGCCTCAGCCTCCCGAATAGCTGGGACTACAGGCGCCCGCCACCACGCCCGGCTAATTTTTTGTATTTTTAATAGAGACGGGGTTTCACCGTGTTAGCCAGGATGGTCTCGATCTCCTGACCTTGTGATCTGCCTGCCTCGGCCTCCCAAAGTGCTGGGATTACCGGCGTGAGCCACCGTGCCCGGCGTTTCTTGACTTTTTAATAATCGCCATTTTGACTGGTGTGAGATGGTGTCTAAATGTGGTTTTGATTTGCATTTCTCTAATGATTGGTGATGTTGAGCTTTTTTTTGTATGTTTACTGGCTGCATAAACGTCTTCTTTTGAGAAGTGACTGTTCATGTCCTTTACCCACTTTTTAATGGTTTTTTTTTTCTTGTAAATTTGTTTAACTTCCTTGTAGATTCTGGATATTAGACTTTTGTGAATTGATAGATTGCAAACATTTTCTCCCATTCTGTAGGTTGTCTGTTCACTCTGATGATACTTTCTTTTGCTGAGCAGAAGCTCTTTAGTTTAGTTAGATCCCATTTGTCAGTTTTTGCTTTTGTTACAATTGCTTTTGACGTTTTTGTCATGAAATCTTTGCCCATGCCTGTGTCCTGAATGGTATTACCTAGATTTTCTTCTAGGGTTTTTATAGTTTTCGGGTTTTGCATCCAAGTCTTTCATCCATCTTGAGTTAATTTTTGTACAAGGTGTAAGGAACGGGTCCAGTTTCTATTTTCTGCATATGGCTAGCCAATTCTCCCAGCACCATTTATTAACCCACAGCCAATTTCATACTAAATGGGCATTTCCCTTGAAAACCAGCACAAGACAAGGATGCCCTCTTTCACCACTCCTATTCAACATAGTATTGGAAGTTCTGGCCAGGATAATCAGGCAAGAGAAAGAAATAAAGGATACTCAAATAGGAAGAGAGGAAATCAAACTATCTCTGTTTGCAGATGACATGATCCTATATCTAGAAAACCCCATCATCTCAGCCCAAAAGTTTCTTAAGCTGATAAGCAACTTCAGCAAAGTCTCAGGATACAAAATCAATGTGCAAAAATCACAAGCATTCCTATACACCAACAATAGACAGGCAGAGAGCCAAATCATGAAGGAACTCCCATTCACAATTGCTACAAAGAGAATAAAATACCTAGGAATACAGCTAACAAGGAAAGTGAAGGACATCTTCAAGGAGAACTACAATTCACTGCTCAAGAAAATCAGAGCGGACACAAACAAATGGAAAAACATTCCATGCTCATGGATAGGATGAATCAATATCGTGAAAATGGCCATACTGCCCAAAGTAATTTATAGATTCATTGCTATTCCCATTGAACTATCATTGACATTCCTCACACAATTAGAAAAAACTATAAAATTCATATGGAACCAAAAAAGGGCCCATATAGCCAAGACAATACTAAGCAAAAAGAACAAAGCTGGAGGCCTCAGGCTCAGACTTCAGACTATATTACAAGGTGATAGTAACCAAAACAGCATGGTACTGGTACAAAAACAGACACATAGACCAATGGAACAGAATAGAGATCTCAGAAATAAGACCACACATCTACAACCATCTGATCTTCAACAAACCTGACAAAAACAAGCAATGGGGAAAGGATTCCCTATTTAATACACCTTGTTTTGATTTTGATTTCAACACAGCGTGTGGTATTTGCATGCCATGTGATACAGTTTGAATATGTGTTCCCACCAAATCTCATACTGGATTATGATCCCCAATGTTGGAGGTGGGGGCCTGGTGGGAGGTGTTTGGATCATAGGGGTGGATCCCTCATTGCTTGGTGCTTTCCTTGCAATAGTAAGTGAATTCTCACAAGATCTGGCTATTGCAAAGTGTGGCATGTCCCCCAGTCCCAACTCTCTCTCTCTCTTGCTCCTGCTCCCACCACATGAGACAGCTACCCCCTCTTTGCCTTCTGCCATGACTGTAAGCTTCCTGAGGCCTCCCCAAAAGCAGAAGCCAGCCTTCTGCTTCCTATACGGCCTTCAGAACCATGAACCAATTAAACCTCTTTTCTTATCAATGATCCAGTCTCAGATATTTATAGCAGCACAAAATCGGCCTAATATAGCATGAAATATTGCTCAGCAATCAAAAGGAACACATCATTGATACATACAGCAGCTTGGATGGGCCTCAGGGGCATTGCACTGAGTGACAAAAGGATATCTCAAACGGTTGCATACTGGATGATCCCATTTACATCAGATTCTAGAAATGGAAGATTATAGAGATGGAGAACAAATTAATGGATACCAGGAGTTAGGGATGGCAAGGGAAGGAGAAGGGTGTAGGTGTGAATATAAAAGGGTAGCCCAAGGGAGGCCCTTGTGAGACGGAAGAGTTCTGTACAGTGACTGCGGTGATGGTGACGCGAATCTACAACTGTGACAAATTGGCATAGAACTAGACACCTACTTTATGCCAATGTCAAATTCCTGGTTTTTATGTTGTACTCTAATTACGTAAGATGTAACCATTAGAGGAAACTGGAAAAAGAGCACATGGGATTCTTCTGTTCTATCATTGTAGACTTCCTGTGACTCTAGAACCATTTCAAAAGAGAAAGTTCAAAAATTCAGTCAGAAGCACACGCACACATATGCACGCATGCACACACACACATATGCACGCATGCACACACATATGCACGCACACACACATATGCACGCACACACGCACATGCACGCACACACACATATGCACGCACACAGTATGTGACCATCTTCCATGTCCCTGCCCACTAGGCATAATAGCCCTCACTCTGCCCTCAACCCCGCAAATCTCATCCTTATCAACCTCGGCTCTTTCCAGCATGTTTCTCCTGCCTTGGTGCTTCACTCTGAGACACAGGGAATGTTAGACACGCCCAGCCTCCAGCCTAGCGTATGATATTCTTAAAGTGCAGGCCGTAGTCTGGTACACCGTATTCAGCTGAGATGTTTGTGAAAGTGGAGGGGATAACACGCCTCACACAAAACTTACCGCAGTGGTTCTCAAAGCAGCATTCTGGAGCCATAGCATCAGCATCACCTGGGAACTTACTAGGAATGAAAATGACTGGATTCACCCCAGACCTACTGAAGCAGAAGCCCTGGGGGCTCAGAAATCTATTCTTTAAGCCTCCAGGTGATTCTTATGCTCATGGAAGTTTGAGAACCGCTGATCAATGCATTCAGTGACTCAGAAACAGAGTCCCGGACTCTACAGGTTTGTTGGTTGGTTGGTTGGTTGGTTGGTTGGTTAGTTTGTTTGTTTTTGTCACCCATATTCAACCAGCTGGACTCCACAGTATAGCAAGCCACTCCGATTATTCTTCTGCATGTTATATGTGATAAACCATCCACCTAGAGTAGGATTGGGGGCAGCATCTTAACATCTAACTACTTAGGACACCCACCCTGTTTACAGGCAGAAATAAAGGATTTTTAAAACAAAGCAAATCTGTGAAAGAACCAACTGAATTAAATCGAGAAGTCTAGGCAGAGAGGAGAGAGAGAAGGGGTCCGTGTACCTCATACGCTGTGCACCAGAATGGACCCTGCAGAACCTACCTGCTACCGGGGAAGGTGGTTCTGTTGGTAACCGGCTGGGGGTCACAGAGGTTCCTGGGAAATCAGAAAATGAGATAAATCTGTGCTCTGTCGCTGTGGGTCCTGAACAAATAACGAAACATCTCCGTGACTGAGTTTCCTCACCGGAAAAATGAGCCTAAAGTAGCTTACATCACTGGACTGTTGTGGATGTTAATAAGCATTTGAGCTGGGTGCAGTGCCTCATGCCTGTAATCCCAGCACTTTGGGAGGCTGAGGAGGGCAGATCACTTGAGGTCAGGAGTTCAAGCCCAGCCTGGCCAGTATGGTGAAACCCCGTCTCCACTAAAAATACAAAAATTAGCCAGGCGTGGTGGTGTGCACCTGTAATCCCAGCTGCTCGGGAGGCTGAGGCAGGAGAATCACTTGAACCTAGGAGGCAGAGGTTGCAGTGATCTGAGATCGCACCACTGCACTCCAGCCTGGGTGACGCAGTAAGACTCCATCTGAAAAAAAAAGGCTTAGCCAGGCGTGGTGGCTCACACCTGTAATCCCAGCACTTTGAGAGGCCGAGGCAGGCAGATCACCTGAGGTCAAGAGTTCAAGACCAGCCTGGCCAACATGGTGAAACCCTGTCTCTACGAAAAATACAAAAATTAGCTGGGCATGATGGCAGGTGCCTGTAATCCCATCTACTCAGGAGGCTGAGGCAGGAGAATCGCTTAAACCCAGGAGGTGGAGGTTGCAGTGAACTGAGATCACTCCACTGCACTCCAGCCTGGGTGACAAAGTGAGACTCCCCCCAAAAAAAAAAAAAAAAAAAAAAGCAGCAGCATTTGTAAAGCACACCTGGCACATTCTGGGCTATTAACAAGGAAATGCATGCAGCTCCCGTCCACCTTTTTCAACCTCAGTTCTATTTCTTCTGGATTCCTGTGTCCTACCCCTCACTGTGACCCTGGGGGCAAAACAGATTTTTCTACCAAAAACTAAATGATGTATTTTGTTTGATTTAATATGACATTGTTAAATGTACTGATCAGTGGCGTTGGGTATGTTCACATTGTGGTACAATATGTTGACCTCTAGAACTTATTTTTCTTGCAAAACTGAAATTCTGTGCCCATTAAACACTAATTCCTTCTCTCTCCTCTTTCTGGCCCTTAACAACCACCATTGTACTTTGTGTTTCTACAGTGTTGACATTAGATACCTCCTTTGACTAGAATCATACAGTAGTTGTCCTTTTGTGACTGACTTAGCATAATGTCCTCAAGGTATATCCATGTTGTAGTATGTGTCAGAATTTCCTTCTTTTTTAAGGCTGCATAATATTCCATTGCATGTATATAACCACATTATGAGGTATGCTGCTCTTTTTTGAAAGAAACCCCCTTTAAGAATGGTAGTCAAGTCCGACGCGGTGGCTCACGCCTGTAATCCCAGCACTTTGGGAGGCCGAGGCGGGCAGATCATGAGGTCAGTTCAAGACCAGCCTGACCAACATAGTGAAACCCCGTCTCTACTAAAAATACAAAAATTGGCCGGGCATGGTGGCAGGCACCTGTAATTCCAGCTACTCGAGAGGCTGAGGCAGCAGAATCGCTTGAACCCGGAAGGCGGAGGTTGCAGTGAGCTGAGATCGCGCCACTGCACTCCAGCCTGGGTGACAGAGTGAGACTTCGTCAAAAAAAAAAAAAAGAAACCTCCATTCTCCCAGCTGCCTGTAGCCCAGGGCTTCCTGCCCTCCCACTTCCTTCCCACCTCTGGCCCCGCCCCTGCAGCCCAGGGCTTCCTGCCCTCCCACTTCCTTCCCACCTACGGCCCCGCCCCTGCAGCCCAGGGCTTCCTGCCCTCCCACTTCCTTCCCACCTACGGCCCCGCCCCTGCAGCCCAGGGCTTCCTGCCCTCCCACTTCCTTCCCACCTACGGCCCCGCCCCTGCAGCCCAGGGCTTCCTGCCCTCCCACTTCCTTCCCACCTACGGCCCCGCCCCTGCAGCCCAGGGCTTCCTGCCCTCCCACTTCCTTCCCACCTACGGCCCCGCCCCTGCAGCCCAGGGCTTCCTGCCCTCCCACTTCCTTCCCACCTCTGGCGCCGCCCCTGCAGCCCAGGGCTTCCTGCCCTCCCACTTCTTTCCCACCTATGGCCGCGCCCCTACAGCCCAGGGCTTCCTGCCCTCCCACTTCCTTCCCACCTACGGCCCCGCCCCTGCAGCCCAGGGCTTCCTGCCCTCCCACTTCCTTCCCACCTACGGCCCCGCCCCTGCAGCCCAGGGCTTCCTGCCCTCCCACTTCCTTCCCACTTATGGCCCCTCCCTTGGAATGGCCATCAGGACCTATAAAGGCTGAGGAAGAAAGGTTTGGTCTGCACTACCCCTACCTGTGACCACAAGCTCCAGGGGGTCGCTGGGGGCTGACCACAGGTATGGGTCCCTGCTGGAGAAGCTGTAGCATCGGTAGGTTCCGCTGTGGGCGGCGGTCACCGTGATGATGGGAAAACTAGCCCTGTACCATCTCTCGGGATTCTTGTAGGGCGCAGGGTCCCCTTCCTTGTACAGAGCAAATTGGTCAAAGCCATACCGAGTCTGACACTGTAGGGTTACGTCCCCTCCTGACGACACCGCCGGGCCGGGCTGGGCTGAGAGCGAGGGTTTGGCAAAAACTCCTGGGAGAAAAAGAAAGTCTGATGTTGAAGGCAGGAGCCAGCATCTCAGCTGAGACTGGGGAGGTCCCCACACCTGCCTAAGAGCTGGGGAGCTTTTTGGCTGTATCCCTCCCAGAGAGCGCACTCCCCCACCCAAGCTCACAGAGAGGTCGAGTCACCCAGTGGTTGAGGAAGGAGGCTGTGCTCACGTCCTAGTGCTTGGGTGCAAATCCTAGTTCTGCCTTCAGGGGCCTGGTGGCCCTGGAGACAAATCTCCCTCTGTATCTGAGCCTCACTGCCTTGTTCTGTTAAAATGGGGATGACTGAATGAGACAGTACACAGTAATTTGCAGAGTGCCTGTTGCCTAGCAAGCGCTGGAGTAAGTAAATAGCTTAAGCTTATACTGTGCTGTAAGCTTGTATTGCCACATACAATTGTTACGTTGTAAATGTGGCTGACAGTGCTAGCTTCCGGGTGCCTTCCAAACTTATGATGTATATCAGTTCAGTGAATCCTCAGAGACCTATGGAGTCCTCACTCTTAATGTCCCTATTTTATAAATGAAACTAAGGCACATGGCATTAAATAATTTGTCCAACTCTAGGTAACAATACTGCAGTGTACAGCTGAAATTTGCTAAGAGGGTAGATTATAAGTATTCTCACACACAAAAAAGTTAACTGTGTCAGGTGATGTATGTTAATTAGCTTGCTAGTAGTAACTGTCTCACAGTGGATTCGTATATCAAAACATCAACTTGTACACCTTGGATATATTCCATTTTTGTTTTTCAATTATACCTCAACAAAGCTGGACATATTTTAATTTAAAAATAAATAAAAAACTTGTCCAAGATCATAAGTGGCAGAGTTGAAATCTGCACTCACAGAGTTTGATTCCAGGGTCTCCGCTCCTAAACACGAACCTACACTACTCTGATGTGAGGTTGTTGTCATAGACCGGTGTGGTGATGCATGCCTGCACACAGGAGTCAGAAAAACAAAGGTTGAGGCTGGGTGCGGCGGCTCACACCGGTCATCCCAGCACTTTGGGAGGCCAAGGTGGGAGGATCGCTTGAGCCCAGGAAGGCGAGGCTGCAGTGAGCTATGATCACTGTACACTAGCCTGGGTGACAGAGTGAGACCTTGTCTCAAAAAAAGACAGAGAGAGAAAGCAAAAGAAAGGAAGTAAGGAAGATAAAAATATAAGCTGCCTAATAATTATGGCATTCACTCAACAAGAAGAAAAAGAAAGAAAGAGGAAGGAAGGGAGGGAGGGAGGAAGGAAGGAAGGAAATATATAAGCTGCCTGATAACTGTAACATTCACTCAGCAATATTTTCTCTTAATTTTCACTTAAGCAACTATTATGTGTCTGTCTGTATTCTTTTTTTGTTGTTTCATTTGTTTTGTTTTGTTTTGTTTTGTTTTGAGACGGAGTCTCGCTCTGTCACCCAGGCTGGAGTGCAATGGCATATATATATATATATATATATATATATATATATATATATATATATATATATATATATATTTTTTTTTTTTTTTTTTTTTTTTTTTTTTTTGGGAAACAGAATCTCACTCTGTTGCCCAGGCTGGAGTGCAGTGGCATGATCCCAGCTCACTGCAACCTCCACCTCCTGGGTTCAAGCGATTCTCCTGCCTCAGCCTCCCGAGTAGCTGGGACTACAGGCATGCACCACCATGCCCAGTTAATTTTGTATGTTTAGTAGAGACAGGGTTTCACCATGTTAGCCAGGCTGATCTCGAACTCCTGACCTCAGGTGATCCGTCCACCTCGGCCTCCCAAAGTGCTGGCATTACAGGCGTGAGCCACCGTGCCCGACCAGGAATTAAAAATAGACAACCACCACCAAGATAAAAAAAGGTATACTTCACATACCAGATAGTGAGGAGGGCCACTTTGACTAGGGTGGTGGGGGATATACTTAGCGAGAAGAGAGTATTTGAGTCTGACCCTGAAAGAAGTAATGAGGCAGCCAGGCTGGTCCATTCTAGTAGCAGAGAGGAGGCCAGTGATGCTGTGGAGGGGAGTGAGGCAGGGAAGAGGGGAGGGAGGCAGGATTTATAACGCGGAATAGACCACAGTGCAGCTGGCCAGGAATTAGGGTGGCGTGAGTGAGGCACTCTCCTGGGATGTAAAATTTAATTATTCCCAAACAATTAACATATTTGAAAAAATTATTGAAAATTTGAAGAGTAGGTCGTTAAAACTCACATTATTCTGTTTGAATACTTTATTCCCCTGAAAGATTTATTAGAATTTTACATTCTAGGCTTTTGTGGATGCAAGCGCATCAGTGCTATTTCCAAAACCTACTTCTAGAAAATAACCATTTAAAAGTGCACTAACTGGGTGCACCTATAGTCCCAGCTACTAGGGAGGACCACTTGAGCCCAGGGATTTGAGGCTAAAGTGAGCTATGATCATGCCTGTGAATACAGCGAGTGTACTAAAGCCTGGGCAACATAGTAAGACCTCTTCTCTTTTTTTTTTTTTCCCAAGACGGAGTCTTGCTCTGTCGCCCAGGCTGGACTGCAGTGGTGCAATCTCGGCTCACCGCCTCCCAGGTTTAAGCGATTCTCCTGCCTCAGCCTCCGGAGTAGCTGGGATTACAGGAGTGCGCCACCGCGCCCAGCTAATTATTATTATTTTTTTTAGTAGAGACGGGGTTTCACCATGTTGGCCAGGCTGGTCTCAAACTCCTGACCTTAAGTGATCCACCCACCTCAGCCTCCCAAAGTACTGGGATTACAGGCGTGAGCCGCCGCGCCCGGCCCAACCTCTTCTCTTAAAAAAAATAAATAAATAAGAAAAGAAATTAGAATATTTGCACCAATCAAGAGTCTAAGGAGACATAAATACTAAATGCACTGTGGGGCCCTGGACGGGGTCTGGGAACAGAAATAGGATATTAGTGGAAAGACTGGTGAAATTCAAATAGCCTGGAGTTTACTTGATATAATATAGTTGTGTCTATGGTTAGTTTTTTGTTTGTTTTTTGATACAGGGTCTCACTCTGTCACCCAGGCTGGAGTGCAGTGGCGTGATCACAGCTCCCTGCAGCCTCGGCCTCCCTGGCTCAAGCGATCCTCCTGCCTCAGCCTCCTGAGTAGCTGGGACTATAGGTGTATGCCACCATGCCCCACTAATTTTTAATTTTGTTTAAAGATGAGGTCTCACTATGTTGCCCAGGCTGGTCTTGAACTCCTGAGCTCAAGCAATCCTCCCGCCTCAGCCTCCCAAAGTGCTGGGATTACAGGTGTAAACCACTGGGACCAGTGCTACGTTTATTTTTTGGTTGTAACAAATGTAAGATGTTAACATGAGGGGATCCTGGGTGAAATATTTCCATTAATATTATCTTTGGAACTTTTCTGTCAGTCTAAAAATTACTCCAAAACAAAGTTTTAAAAAGAATCCCGAGCCAAGCACGGTGGCCCGTGACCGTAGTCCCTGCTACTCATGAGGCTGAGGCAGGAGGATTGCTCAAGGCAAGGAGCTCCAGGCTGCAGTGAGCTATGACTGCTCCTATGAACAGCCACTGCACTCCGGCCTGGGCAGTGTAGCAAGACCCCATCGCTAATTTTTTTAAGTGCATTAAAACACAGATAAAGGGTTGCCTGTTTTTCGTTTTGGCACAGACTCTGGTATGACTTGACACAGGCACTGGCTGATTCTGCCTTTATTTGAAATTCTGGTTTTTTTCATTGTGGATGTTTTTGCAATTTATTTTGATTTTTTTAAAAATTGCATGAAAATGTTATTCACAGCCAGATGCAGTGGCTCACGCCTGAAATCCCAACACTTTGGGAAGCCAAGGTGGAAGGATAGCTTGAGCCCACAGGAGTTCGAGACCAGCCTGAGCAACATAGCGAGACCCTATCTCTCTCTCTTTTGTATTTTAATGCCTTTTGTGAAAACTGTCAAGAGACCCCATCTCTATAAAAACATAAAAAATGAGCTGGGCGTGGTGGTGCACACCTGTAATCCTAGCTACTTGGAGGGCTGAGGCGGGAGAATCGCTTGAGCCCTGGAGGTGGAGGCTGCAGTGAGCCAAGATCGCGCCACTGCTCTCCACCCTGGGTGACGCAGCAAGACCCTGTGTCCAAAAAACAAAATATTATTCACATTGATCCATAAATGTCGTGGCACCACCACCCGCTAGGCCAGTGCCTCGTTTGCCTCACCCTAATCCCTGCCCTCAATGTCCCCCGTATTTGTGTCCTGAACGGAGGACCACGCAGTCCCAGGCTCCGATCCCCCTTCCTTTACCCGTGGCAACGAGCTCCAGCTGGTCGCTGGGCAGGGACCAGAGGCTTCCGTTCTGGTAGGAGCAGCGGTAGCGTCCAGCCAGACTTCTCTTCATGGCCGGGATGAAGAGGACTGCCTGATCCTGGTACCTGCTGGAACTCAGCTTCTCCAGGCGGTACAGGTCCACGCCCGGAGGTCCCTGGCACCGGAGGGTCACTGGCTTCTCCAGGGGCACCAGGGAGCTGGGCAGAGCCTGGAGGGAGGGCTTGGGGAGCGGTCCTGGAAGAGGAGCAGGGCTGGGTCAGCCTCCCCGCAGACCCCGCCTGGACCCCGCTGCTCCCGCGCTGGCGGATCCCGCAGGAGGGAAGGGGTCTGGGGAAGGACTCACCACTCTGCGCTGGCACACGCCCCAGACACAGCCCTGAGGAAAGAAGAAAGGGACCAGATGCCAGGACTCGCTTTTATGGACATTCCTGCCTGCTGGGCGCGGTGATAAGACATTTGCATGCATATGCTTTACTCTGTCCTAATAATTTCTTCAAAAGACACACAGGAATGTAATTTAAGTGAGAGAAACCGGTCAGAAAAAGCCACATAGTTTATGAGGTCATTTACATGAAATATCCAGAATAGGTAAATCTATAGGAGATGGAGAAGAAAGCAGATCCATGGCTGGGGGTGGTGGGAGAGGAGGGCAAGGCATGGTGGCGTACTGCTCTCTGTGGACTTGTTCGTGTTAGACACGGTGGGCTCGTTCGTGTTAGACACGGTGGACTCGTTCGTGTTAGACACGGTGGGCTCGTTCGTGTTAGACACGGTGGGCTCGTTCGTGTTAGACACGGTGGACTCGTTCGTGTTGTGTTAGACACGGTGGACTCGTTCGTGTTAGACGCGGTGGACTCGTTCGTGTTAGACACGGTGGACTCGTTCGTGTTGTGTTAGACACGGTGGACTCGTTCGTGTTGTGTTAGACACGGTGGACTCGTTCGTGTTAGACACGGTGGGTTCGTTCGTGTTAGACACGGTGGGTTCGTTCGTGTTAGACGCGGTGGGTTCGTTCGTGTTAGACGCGGTGGACTCCTTCGTGTTGTGTTAGACACGGTGGACTCGTTCGTGTTAGACACGGTGGACTCGTTCGTGTTAGACACGGTGGACTCGTTCGTGTTAGACACGGTGGACTCGTTCGTGTTGTGTTAGACACGGTGGACTCGTTCGTGTTGTGTTAGACACGGTGGGCTCGTTCGTGTTGTGTTAGACACGGTGGACTCGTTCGTGTTGTGTTAGACACGGTGGGCTCGTTCGTGTTAGACGCGGTGGGCTCGTTCGTGTTAGACGCGGTGGGCTCGTTCGTGTTGTGTTAGACACGGTGGGCTCGTTCGTGTTGTGTTAGACACGGTGGGCTCGTTTGTGTTGTGTTAGACACGGTGGGCTCGTTCGTGTTAGACATTGCCCATTGACTTCCTCAGTGGATGTGAGGAATGGGACCTGAGACATTGCTGTCCCTTCGTTTCCTCCCTTCAGTCTCCCAATATTAAATAATATCCAAGTACATTACAATAGTATGCAATTGTATAGACAAGTATTGTAAATACTATTGCATATTGTATATTATTGTATTTTATTGTCTATGTAATATATGCGATAAAACCCCACACTAATGGGATGCATTGGGCTCCAAGGATGGAGCAGGATGGAGCCTCAGCGTGTAAGTCAGGACGTCTCAGCATGTGCTGGCCATGGGTTTCCCGGTATTTACAACATTTGCTTGAATCAGTATTCCATGATTACATGATAGGATATAATATATATAATAATCGTTTCAAATAGCCTGAAGGAGGATGGGGAAAGTTCCCAACACAGAAAGGATGCATGTTTGAGAAGATGGGTGTGCTACTTACCCTGATCTGATTACTATATGTATATACACATATAGTGCATATATGTAAACCTACATCTATACATACATGTGTATGTACATATACACGTGTGTACATACACACGTGTATATGTATGTATATGTATATATGTATGCATGTGTGTGTGTGTGTGTGTGTGTGTGTATACATATGTATACAAATACATGTACATAAGCGATCCCCTCCTGGAATTGCTTGAGCCCAGGAGGTCAAGTCTGCTGTGAGGTAAGATTGCACCACTGGCCGGGCACGGTGGCTCATGCCTATAATCCCAGCACTTTGGGAGGCCAGGGTGGGCGGATCACAAGGTCAGGAGTTCAAGACCAGCCTGGTCAACATGGTGAAACACCATCTCTACTAAAAATACCAGAAATTAGCTGGGCATGGTGGCACGTGCCTGTAATCCTAGCTACTGGGGAGGCTGAGTCAGGAGAATCACTTGAACCCGGGAGGCGGAGGTTGCAGTGAGCCAAGATCACGCCACTACACTCCAGCCTGGGCAACAGAGCAAGACTCCATCTCGAGGAAAAAAAAAAATGATATTGCCCCATTGCACTCCAGACTGACAACAGAGCAAGACCCTGTCTCAGAAAACGAAGAGGAGGAGGAAAAAAAAAGTACTAATTATCTGAAATTCCAATTTAACCAGGCATCCAGTGTTTTATCTGGTAACCCTCATTCTTACACACACACACACACACACACACACACAAAGGCGGGATAGTTGTCATTCCCACTGTAAACATAAGGAAACTGGGCAGAGGCCAAGCAACCTTGTGTAGCTCACATAGCAAGAAGTGGGTGAACCCAGCTCATGTCTTGACTCTGAGCTCAGAGAGTGACAACTTGTCACCAGCGCCCCCATAGCCACCACCCTTTGTCCACCCCAGGCTCCCTCTGCACCCCAACGCAAGCTCCGGCCGCTTCTCTGTCCCCCTCCTCCTGCCGCATCACAGCCCACCTCAGCCTCTTTGTAGGTTTCCATGCGACGCTGTACCATGGCTGGGAGTCTTCCAGGCGCCGTGCTGAGCGCCTTCTGTGCATGGACTCCAAGTCGCCATAATCGTACGGGTTACCCACCATTATCAGTCCCCTCTTATACATCAGGCTAGTGAGACAGTATCTTATCCACAGTCCTACAGCTGGCAGGAGTAGATTCAAACCCTAGCAGCACCAATTAGTGGTAAAGAGTGTGGACTTGGGAACTTACAGGAGTAGAGAGCACAGTGGTGGTTACCGGGGCGGTGGGGTAAGGTTTGGGGAGATGTTGGTCAGAGGAGGACAGTTTCAGTTGGACAAGAGGAGTATGTCTTGGAGATCTACTGCACATCATGGTGACTGTAGTTAATAACAACATATTGTACACTTGCATATCACCGATAGTAGATTTTAAATGTTCTCACCGGCCGGGCGCGCTGGCTCACACCTGTAATCCCATTTTGGGAGGCCAAGGTGGGCGGATCACCTGAAGTCAGGAGTTCGAGAGCAGCCTGACCAACATGGTGAAACCCTGTCTCTACTAAAAATACAAAAATTAGCGGGGCGTAGTGGCAGGAGCCTGTAATCCCAGCTACTTGGGAGGCTGAGGCAGGAGAATCGCTTGAACCTGGGAGGTGGAGGTTGCAGTGAGCCAACGTCATGCCACTGCGCTCCAGTCTGGGCAACAGAGTGAGACTCCATGTCAAAAAATAAAAATAAATAAAAATAAATGAGCGTGGAATACTACTCAGCCATTAAAAGGAGTGAAATAATGTCTTTTGGCCAGGCACAGTGGCTCACATCTGTAATGCCAGCACTCTGGGAGGCCGAGGTGGGTGGATCACGAGGTCAAGAGATCAAGACCATCCTGCCCAACATGGTGAAACCCCATCTCTACTAAAAATACAAAAATTAGCCGGGCATGGTGGCGGGTGCCTGTAGTCCCAGCTACTCGGGAGGCTGAGGCAGGAGAATCACTTAAACCCGGGAGGTGGAGTTTGCAGTAAGCCGAGATCACACCACTGCACTCCAGCCTTGGTGAGAGAGCGAGATTCCGTCTTTAAAAAAAAAAAAAAAAAGTCTTTTGCAGCAACTTGGATGGAGCTGGAAGGCATTATTCTAAGTAAAGTAATACAGGAGTGGAAAACAAAAATCTGTATATTCTCACTTATAAGTGAGAGCTAAGCTGTGGGTATGCAAAGGCATGCAGAGTGATGTAATGGACTTCAGAGACTCAGAAGGGAAGGGCAGAAGTGGGGCAGGGATGAAAAACTACACATTAGGTACAAGGTACACTAGTCAGGTGACAGGTGCACTAAAATCTCAGAATTCACCAGAATATAATTCATCCATGTAACCAAGAACCACTTGTATCCCAAAAGCTACTGAAGCAACAAGCCAGATGCAGTAACCTGTACAGGCCACACCTGTAACCCCAACACTTTGGGAGGCCGAGGTGGGTGGATCGCTTGAGCCCAGGAGTTCAAGACCAGCCTGGGCAACATAGCGGACCCCCGTAACTAAAAAAATTACAAAAACAAGCCAGGCATGATGGTGTACAACTGTAGTTCCAGATACTCAGGAGGCTGATGGGGAGGCACTGGTTGAGCCTGGGAGGTTGAGGCTGCAGTGAGCCATGATCATGCCACTGCCCTCCTGCCTGGGTGACAGAAGTGAGGCCCTATCTCAAATAAAATTAAATAAATAAAAGTTAAAACAGGCTGGGTGCGGTGGCTCACGCCTGTAATCCCAGCACTTTGGGAGGCCGAGGCGGGTGGAACCTGAAGTAAGGAGCTTGAGACCAGCCTGGCCAACATGGTGAAACCCCGCCCCTACTAAAAATACAATAATTAGCCAGACCTGGTGGCAGATGCCTGTAATCCCAACTATTCGGGAGGCTGAGGCAGGAGAATCACTTGGACCCGGGAGGCAGAGTTTGCAGTGAGCTGAGATCATGCCATTGCATTCCAGCCTGAGCGACCGACTGAGCGAGACTCCATCTCAAAAAACAAACAAAAAGAAAAAAAGAATACATCCATGGATGGATAATGAATGAGAGGTTGTTTATATTCACAGTTAACCCTCTCATCTCCAGTAATGCAACCATCTTCTTCCTGCTTAGCCTTTTGGAGATGCTGTCCCTTTAGTGGTCAAATTCTGAAGAAATCAGGAAATAATGCATTCGACATGCCCAGCACAAGTGAAGATCAGGCAGCAGAAATGCATTCGACCTGCCACCCATCCATCAGGAGACTATTTACTCCACTACTGTAGGGGATACTGACAAATTAAATCCATACCTAGTCCAGATATCAATTCCACAATTTTTTTTTTTTTTTTTTTGAGACGGAGTTTCGCTCTTGTTGCCCAGGCCAGAGTGCAATGGTGTGATCTTGGCTCACCGCAACCTCCACCTCCCAGGTTCAAGCGATTCTCCTGCCTTAGCCTCCAGAGTAGCTGGGATTACAGGCATGTGCCACCACACCCGGCTAATTTTGTATTTTTAGTAGAGATGGGGTTTCTCCATGTTGGTCAGGCTGGTCTCAAACTCCCGACCTCAGATGGCCCACCCGCCTCGGCCTCCCAAAGTGTGTAAGCCATGGCACTCAGCCTTTTTTTTTTTTTTTTTTTTTTTTTTTGAGATGGAGGCTCTCTCTGTTGCCCAGGCTGGAGTGCAATGCCTGACCTCAGCTCACTGCAACTTCTGCCTCCCAGTTTCAAGCAATTCTCCCACCTCAGCCTCCCACGTAGCTGGGATTACAAGCACCCGCCATCACGCCCGGCTAATTTTTGTAGAGATGGGGTTTCACCATGTTGACCAGGCTGGTCTTGAACTCCTGACCTCAGGTGATCCACCCACCTCGGCCTCCCAAGGTTGAGATTACAGGCGTGAGCCACTGTGCCTGGCCCACATTTTTTAAAAAAGGGGCAACTGCAGTGTAGTAGAACAAAGTTGTGACCAATGCTAGGATACTCTGTTCATTTCCTGACCCAGCCATGAATACACTGGAATAACTCATGCAAAATGCCAGCTCGCTGGCCCCCCGTTTCCCCACCCAACAAATGAAGGGGCTCTTACAGGTTCCTTTTTGTCCTGAAATTCATCACCAATGCAAATTTCTTAAAAATCCTTTGTCTGGCAGTCCATGCCTGTCCTTCAGCATTTCCCAGATCTGACCCTCAGGACTCACCAAGACAGAAGAGGGCGGTCGGGGATGGAGACATGGTTCCTCAGCCCTGTCCTGAGCTCTGTGGCCAGGGAGGGAAGTGGTGGGAGCCTGGGGCACAGGCTCAGGATGTGATGAGGATGAAGAATGCTCTCCTCCCTTCCTCCACCAGCCCCGGCCTTTCCTAATTGAGACTCATCGAGCCGTAGCCGGCTCCTCAGTACAGTGACTTGCACACAAGCTCCAAGGAGCCGCGCTTATCTCCTCTGGCCAGCCTGGCGTTGCACCGTTTGTCCGCCTGCTGGGGCCTGGTCTGTGTTCCCGTGCTCCCATAAACTCCCTGATGTCACTAGGAAAATACGCATCAAAACCACAGTGAGATATGACTTCACACCTTCTGGAATGGCTGTATTTTTTTTTTTTCTTTTGAGACAAAGTCTCGTTCTTTTTGCCCAGGTTGGAGTGCAGTGGCGCCATCTCGGCCCACTACAACCTCCACCTCCCAGGTTCAAGCGATTCTCCTGCCTCAGCCTCCCAAGTGGCTGGGATTATAGGTATGTACCACACCAGGCTAATTTTTGTATTTTTAGTAGAGATGGGGTTTCACTGTGTTGGCCAGGCTGGTCTTGAACTCCTGACCTCAGTTGATCCACCTGCCTCGGTCTCCCAAAGTGCTGGGATTACAGGCATGAGCCACTGCACCCGACCGGCTATAATTTTTTTTAATGGAAAACAGCAGATATTGGTGAGTATGCAGAGAAATTGAACTGCGCGTGCATTGCTGGCAGGGACGTAACATGGCGCCCCTGCTGTGGAAAACAGTTCCAGCAGCTCCTCCAGAAGTTAAACGTGGGATTGCCATAAAATCCAGCAATTCCACTTCGGGGTACACACCTAAAAGAACTGAAAACAGGGTCTCTAACATATTTGTACACAGTGTTCATAGCAGCTTTATTCACAATAGCCAAAAGGTGAAACCACCCACATGTCCATCAACAACAATGGATAAACAACATGTGGTATATACACACAAGGTAATATCAACCAGCCTTAACTAAAAGAATAAAAATCAGCCAGGCACAGTGGCTCACGCCTGTAATCCCAGCACTTTGGGAGGCCGAGGCGGGCGGATCACCTGAGGTCAGGAGTCCGAGACCAGCCTGGTTAACATGGTGAAACCCCATCTCTACTAAAAATACAAAAATTAGCTGGGCGTTAAATTAGCCGGGCATGGTGGCAGGTGCCTGTAATCCCAGCTACTTGGGAGACGGAGGCATGAGAATCGCTTGAACCTGGGAGGCAGAGATTGCGGTAAGCCGAGATCGCACCACTGCACTCCAGCCTGGGCGGCAGAGTGAGACTGTCTCAAAAATAAAAATAAGGCCGGGCGTGGTGGCCCATGCCTGTAATCCTAGTACTTTAGGAGGCTGAGGCAGGCAGATTGCCTGAGCTCAGCAGTTCAAGACCAGCCTGGGCAACACAGTAAAACCCCCAAAAAATACAAAAAAAAAATAGCCGGGCATGGCGGCAGGCACCTGTAGTCCCAGCTACTCCGGAGGCTGAGACAGGAGAATGGCTTGAACCCGGGACGCGGAAGTTGCGGTGAGCCGAGATCGCGCCATTGCACTCCAGCCTGGGTGACAGAGCGAGATTCTGTCTCCAAAAAATAAAAAATATTATAAAAGAATAAATTCAGATACATGCTACAACGTGATGGACCTTGAAGACATTATGCTAAAGGAAATATTCCGGACTTGACAGATAAATACTGCATTGTGCCGCTTATCTGAGGTATCGAGAGGAGTCAAATTCATAGAGACAGGGATTAGAATGGTGGTTGCCAAGGCCTGGGAAAAGTGGGGAGTTACTATTTAATAGGGAGCGCTTAGGTTGAAGATGATGACAAAGTCTGGGGGATCCATAGTGGTGATGGTTACACAACACTGTAAATGTATTTATATTTAATGCCATTGACTGTTTTTTGTTTTTTGGTTTTTTGAGACGGAGTCTCACTCTGTCGCCGAGGCTGGAGTGCAGTGGCGCGATCTTGGCTCACCGCAACCTCCGCCTCCCAGGTTCAAGCGATTCTCCTGCCTCAGCCTCCTGAGTAGCTGGGACTACAGGTGCGTGCCACCATGCCTAGTTGATTTTTTGTATTTTTAGTAGAGACGGGGTTTCACCGTGTTAGCCAGGATGGTCTCGATCTCCTGACCTTGTGATTTGGCCTCCCAAAGTGCTGGGAATACAGGCATGAGCCACCGCGCCCGGCCAGTGCCGTTGACTTGTATGTGCACTTACAGGTGGTTAAAATGAGAACTATCAGGGTGTTGATATCTAAAAACCTCCCTGCCATCATCTTCCCTACATCTCTCATTCAGTGACCATGGTTGAATGCCTGCCACCTTTCAAATATTATGTCAGGCACTCAGTATTGGCAGTTTTATCCATTATAAATGCTTTAAGCTGCATAGAATTTTAAACGTGTTAATAAAAGTAGTTATAAATCTTTAATACATAAGCTGGCTTTAAAATTATTGGTAAAATAAGATTAGAAATGTCTTAAGAATTGTTGGCGTTTTTGTTTGCACTTATTGAACGAGTGGTTTCATGCTTATCCCTGCAGAATACTATGAGATTTGTCATAAGGGTTATAAAACTATAAACCCGGCTGGGCGTGGTGGCTCACGCCTGTAATCCCAACACTCTGGGAGGCCGAGGCAGGCAGATCACCTGAGGTCGGGAGTTTGAGACCAGCCTGACCAACATGGAGAAACGCCATCTCTACTAAAAATACAAAATTAGCTGGGTGTGGTGGCGCATGCCTGTAATCCCAGATACTCAGGAGGCTGAGGCAGGAGAATCGCTTGAACCCGGGAGGCAGAAGTTGCAGTGAGCCGAGATTGCGCCACTGCACTCCAGCCTGGGCAACAAGAGTGAAACTCCATCTAAAATAAATAAAAATAAAACATTTGTTTTTTGTAGAGTTGGGGTTTCACTATGTTGCCCAGGCTGGTCTTGAACTCCTCCTGGGCTCAAGCAATCCACCGACCTCAGCCTCCCAAAGTGCTGGGATTACAAGTGTGAGCCACTGTGCCTGGCCCTATTGGGTCCTTTTAAAAGATACATAAAAAATCAAATGCAACAGTGAAGTCAATCACCCGATGGCAGAAATTGGGGTGCTCCTGGCATGTGGTCGGTCGAAGCCAAGGACACTGCTCAGCATTCTGCAGTGCACAGGACGGCCCCGCCCAGGCGGAGAATGATCCGGTGACACATATAGGTGGGAAGGATGCACGAATGATGGCGTTTAGGAAGAATATTATCACTTCTTTCCCGTAAGAGCAACTTAGAGCAAGAAAATGGTATTATTCTTAGGGCCTTCTCTCTTATGGAGGCTCCAAGCCAGGGTTGCCATGGCAGAAGATGCTGGGCTTGCTTTTTCCTTGAGAGAACTGTACTCAAGATGATGTAACTGTCACCCCGGGTGCCACTTGGGTGCTTTGGAGAAGCGCTCAGACGCGACACGCCGTGACGACTCCGCGGCAGGCAGCCGGACCTGTCCTCTGGCGTGCGGTTCACGGGCTGTGTTTATCCCCCTGGTTCCTTCACAGCCACCTTGGGAAATACGTTGCCTCTGAATCACGCCAGGCAGGCTCTCACTGTGTGTGCTGCGGGGCTGGAAATCAGGGTGACACTCCGCTACCGAACAGCCTGACTAGGAAGCCAGAAAGACGCTGCCGGCTTTAGTTTGTCCTTTGACTTTCCTTGATATGAATGAAGATAGAGCACTTCCACACTGCACAACAGGAAAAGCCCAGAACGCTTCCTGGAGATAGCGAGGGGGTGATGCAGCGGACAGCTATGGCTGATGACCCCCTCACCTCTGACTCCCCCTCCCTCCCTGCTTTCTGAACGCACATCCATCACCAACCATAGGTTCCTGTTTGGGGTTTGCTGGCTGGAAAAAAAAAAAAAAAAAAAAGGAAAGCTGGCTTTCTAGTAAAAACCACTTCCTTTGCTCATTTATCAAACTCAAACGCTAGGAGGGCCACCTAACATCCTCCGTCCCACGCAATGGGGTGTTTCTGGAGCACTCCGGTTTATCAGGGACCCTGTCAGTTGCCATCGCACATGTATATGGGGCCAGCCCCTGTGCCACCGAAGAGGGGGGATATTGAAAACATGTTACAGCCAGGAGCGGTGCCCCCTTGGTTCAAGCAGTTCTTCTGCCTCAGCCTCCCTAATAGCTGGGATTACAGGCGTGCACCATCACGCCTGGCCACTGTTATGTAGTTTTTACCACAATTTAAAAAAGGAAAGAGTGCCTGGGTGAGTCCTACGCACCTATTCGGAGAACCAAAGGCTTTGAGGTTATCCTCGGCCCACCCATCTGATGGGAGTGTTTCTCAAACTTGCTTTTCCGTGATCTCCCAGTAAGAAATACCTACTACACACACACAGTCTCCGGTCGGCATGCTTAGGGTAGTCTTCCAATTCCCCCTCCTGGTATTTACACCCTGGAGTGGTCCGCTCCTCTTGGGCTGAACCTGTAACTTGCTCCCAAGCAAGAGCACACAGCAAGCTCACGCACGTGGTTGTTGGTGTGATTCTGTTTCTCCAGATTGTCTCCATTCCTCCCTGGCTTCTCCACAGGGCCGCTCACCATGGCAGCCGGCTCCATCACCACCAGCCAGCGAGAGGGCAAGACAAGAGGGCTGACGAGGGACGCTACCATCACAGAGGTCAGTTTTGTAACCTAACCACAAGACTAACCTACTGTCACTTCTGCCCTATCCTACTGCTAGAAGCCAGTCGCTACATCTCCCCCACACTCAAAGGGAGGTGGTCGCACCGTGGGGTCCACTGGAAGTTGCCTACCAGACTCAGGTCATCCCAAACACACCCTCTAGCCATTTGGTGTGGCATCGGAAAGAAAACTAAGGCCAGGTACGGTGGCTCATGCCTGTAATCCCAACAATTTGGGAGGCCATGGCGGAAGGGTCACTTGAGCCCAGGAGTTTGAGACCAGCCTGGGCAACATAGCAAATGTTATGTTGCCACCTCTACAAATAATTAGCCAAGTGTGGTGGCATGCACCTGTAGTCCCAGATACTCAGGAGGCTGAGGCAGGAGAATCACAGGTCGAGGTTGTAGTGAGCTGTGACGGCACTGCACTCCAGCCTTGGCAACACAGTAAGACCTCGTCTCTAAAAAAGCAAAAAGGGCTGGGTGCACTGGCTCACACCTATAATCCCAGCACTTTGGGAGGCCAAGACGGGTGGATCACCTGAGGTCAGGAGTTCAAGATAAGCCTGGCCAACATGGTGATACCGTCTTTAATTAGCCAGGTGTGGTGGTGGGCGCCTGTAATCCCAGCTACTCGGGAGGCTGAGGCATGAGAATCGCTTGAACATGGGAGACACAGGTTGCAGTGAGCTGAGATCATGCCATTGCACTCCAGCCTGGGCAACAGAGCGAGACTAGGTGGCTGTTCTGTGTACTGTGGGATATTGAGTAGCATCCCTGGCCTCCCCAGTATCTCAAATATGAAAACATGTTTTCTATCTCGATTACTGAGCTTTTCGGTGCCTCCTTCGGTTCTGCACCTAAGCTAAGAGCCCCTTCATCTCACCCTGATCTCTATCCAGTTTCTAACACAGCAGTCTTGTAAGATGCCCGGACTTAAACGGTTATTTCCTGTGAAACAGGTGAAAGGGGCTTTCATCTCTAAAAAGTCGGAACTTTTTTTTTTTTTTGAGACGGAATCTTGCTCTGTCACCCAGGCTGGAGGGCAGTGGCATGATCTCGGCTCACTGCAATCTCCGCCTCCCAGCTTCACACCATTCTCCTGCCTCAGCCTCCCGAGTAGCTGGGACTACAGGCGCCCACCACCATGCCCAGCTAATTTTTTGTATTTTTTTAGTAGAAACAGGGTTTCATTGTGTTAGCCAGGATGGTCTCGATCTCCTGACCTCGTGATCCACCGCGCCCGGCCAAGTCTGAACTTTTGCATGGCCTGTTGCCCTGGTGATAAACTGATGCCTTGTTTCCTAAAAGGAATAAAGCCATGAGTTGCCTTTGTTCAGCTCATGGGCATTCACCCATGCACAGAGGAAAAATAAAATCTACGACTCGGGTACATTTTCTTCTTTTTTTTTTCTTTTAAATGAGCAAGTTTGAGAGTCTGCAGTTTGGACTACCATGAGAATTGATAGGAAGGTGGGAGTCCCAGGCAATCCCAGGTCCTGTAGCAGCAGCTGGTGGGGTTCCCACTCCATGCCGTGCAGAGCCTGAACTCAGGATGACACCTGCACCTGCTCTCTGGCTGGGCTCTGGCACAGGAAGCCCTCAGCAAACACCCCCGGCACAGCCATGCCATAGCCAGACAACAGCTCGCTGTACCACACCATCATGGGAGACAGCAGTTATTCTGAGCATCTCACTGCTGAAGAAACCAAGGCTCAGAGAGGACCATGCATGCACAAGGTCCCACAGGGACCCAAGAATCCACCAAGTGTCAGACAACTTGCCCATGCTCTTCACGGAGCACCTTGGAACCCTCCCCGACAGGCACCGCTGGCTCTCCTGACGTGGCCTGCAAGTGCACGGAGCCCCTTCCTCCTCGGCCATTCCCAGTTTAGATTCCCAGGGGAAGCATCAGATGGCCCCTCTCCCCTGCTGGCAGCAGAGCAGACGGAACCAGCCAGAGCCCAGGGCAGTGCTCACCTGCAGGCCAGTCCACTGCGGCCAGCACCGCCCCCTAGAACCTACTGCGGGCATGGCGGCCGCCAGTCCTGGGTCTCCCGGCTCAGGTAGTGCCAGGAAGCTGCGGGCATGGCGGACAGCTGTCCTCGGTCTGGAGGCGCCATCCTGGCTTTCAAATCTGCTCCAGAGGTTATCTGGGGAGGGGCTGCTCCCTCACAGAGGGAGCCTCTAAGCCCACCAGGCGGGCACTTTCAGCCCAAAGCCTCCGGGCCACCTCCTCATCCTCAGCCTCGGGGGCCGGGGCCTTCTGTTTGAGTCCATCGAAGTACTTTCCGGAAACATCCGCCAGTTCCTCCGCCACGGCCAGGTATGTGCTGGGCTGGGCGGCCAGCTCGGGGCTCTTGACCAGCAGCCAGAAGATGGGCCCTGCAATCAGCCCACAGGGCATTTAGTCCACACTCGCTCAGAGAGAAGGAAGGAAGCCCCGCTCCCCGGTCAGGGAGCTCCGGGTCCCTGGAGTCCCACAGAGCCCTCCTCTAGCCCTTTCCCCTTGGCTGCCTCCATCTGCAGTTCCCTTCCCTGGCACTGCCCAGGCAAATCCCACCAGACCAGGGATCAGACCAAAAGCTGCCTCCCCCAAGGAGCCTTCCTGGCTTTGTCCAGGAAAATGGAAGCTCTCTTCCTCTTGGTCAGCCCCAGTCCTCACCCTACCCCATTTCTCCTTTAATAACATCTTATTAAATGCACCTGGCACCAGCCTCAGGTTAAGGATCTTTTTTTGGCCAGGCGAGGTGGCTCAGGCCTGTAATCCCAGCACTTTGGGAGGCCGAGGCGGGCGGATTACCTGGGGTCGGGAGTTCCAGACCAGCCTGGCCAACATGGTGAAACCCCATTTCTACTAAAAATACAAAAATTAACTGGGTGTGGTGGCGGGTGCCTGTAATCCCAGCTGCTCGGGAGGCTGGGGCAGGAGAATCCCTTGAACCTGGGAGGCGGAGGTTGCAGTGAGCTAAGATCACACCATTGCACTCCAGCCTGGGTGACAATAGCAAGACTTCGTCTCAAAAAAAAAAAAAAAAAAGGGCTGGGCGTGGTGACTCACGCCTGTAATCCCAGCACTTTGGGAGGCTGAGGCAGGTGGATCACCTGAGGTCAGGAGTTCAAGACCAGCCTGGCCAACGTGTGAAACCCTGTCTCAACTAAAAATAAAAACTTAGCTGGGTGTGGTGGTGGGCGCCTGCAATCTCAGCTACTTTGGGAGGCTGAGACAGGAGAATCACTTGAACCGAGGAGGCAGAGGTTGGAGTGAGCCAAGATTGTGCCACTGCACTCCAGCCTGGGTGACGAGCAAAACTCCGTCTCAAAAAAAAAAAGACATTTATTTATTTATTTATTGAGACCTGGTGTCTTGCTCTGTCACCCAGGCTGGAGTGCAGTGGTGTGATCTCAGCTCACTGCAACCTCTGCCTCCCGGGTTCAAGCGATTCTCCTGCCTCAGCCTCCTGAGTAGCTGGGACTACAGGTGCACACCACCACACCTGGCTAATTTTTGTATTTTTAGTAGAGACGGGGTTTCACCATGGTGGCCAGGCTGGTCTCGAACTCCTGACCTGAGGTAATCCGCCCACCACAGCCTCCCAAAGTGCTGGGATTACAGGCGTGGCTATTAGCCTCGCCAAGTTAAGATTCTTGATGCCAACCAATCACCCACTCCATGTTTTTCAGGATTATAAACACTAGTCATAAAGCATGAACTGCCTGGGGGTGGTGGCTCACACCTGTAATCCCAGCACTTTGGGAGGCAGTTGGATCACCTGAGGTCAGGAGTTTGAGACTAGCCTGACCAATATGGTGAAACCCCACCTCTAGCTGGGTGTGGTGGTGTGCACCTGTAATCCCAGCTACTTGGAGACAGGAGAATCGCTTGAACCTGGGAGGTGGAAGTTGCAGTGAGTGGAGATCATGCCATTGTACTCCAGCCTGGGCGACAGAGCAAGACTTCATCTCAAAAATAAGTAAGTAAAGCTCCAACTGTTTGTTCCACCTATTCTCTGGGCGGGGTCCTGTGCTGGCCCTTTCAAGGAAGGTCTCGTATAACCCCCCCAGTGACTGTGAGGTGAGTCCTATTAAGGCCTGCACTCTGCAGATGAAGAAACAGGCTCAGAGGGGTAACAGCTCTTCCCCAGGAGGTGCAGCTGGTTTGGGGTGAAGCTGGAGTTACCCTGAGTACAGCCTGACTCCAGGCGTCAGCTCCACGGCCTCTTCCTCTGAGACACGGTTTTCTCATCCGCCAGCAGGGCTCTGCCTGCTTCCCGGGGCTGTTAGAGGCTGGCAGGCCAGGTCAACGGAGGAAAGGGACCTGTGCTCTGTGCCTCAGAAGACGTAGGCGAGGAGCAGGCATGAGGCCTCAGGGACGGTCTCTGAGGGAGGGTCCTGGGCCCTGGGCTGAGAAAGCAGGGGTGGAGGGCTCCACGTGGAGACCCCAGGCTGGGAGGGGACTCACCGAGTGTGGTGCTGGAGAAGGTGGAGCCATGGATGCCCGTGTGTCTGCCCAGCTCTGTCCTGGCCACGCCGGGGTGCAGGGCGTTGACAGTCACACCAGAGCCTGGGGAAGAAAGAAAGAGAAGACTGAGGGAGGGGTCCAGCCTCACCTGGGAGGCTGTGGCAGCCCACACCCAGCTGTGGGGCTTCCGGGCACCAGGCTGCTTCCTGCACTCAAACCCCATCGTCCCTCTTGCTCTGGAATCTTAGTGAAGTGGTCTTATCTTGCGGAGCGGCTCTGCCACATGGCTGCTGGGAGCCGAGCTTTCCTGGAGGGCTTCATAAACCCAGAACGCTGAGCTTACCCCGGGAGCCTGCATCGGTGCGTGGCGGTGGGACCTAAGATACTGTAACTCTGACCAGCTCCCAGTGGGGCTGGCACCGCTGGTCCACAGACCGTCTTTCAGAAGCAAAGGCCTAGCACAGATTTCTCAATCTCAGCACTGTGGATGCTGTGGGTTGGGAGGAGTGAGGGGCCATCCCGTGCGCTGTAGGACATTGAGAGCATCTGGGCCTTTACCCTCCAGATGCCCAGAGCAATCTCTCCCCAAGCCAGCTGTGATCACTGTGTTTCCAGGCATTGACAACTGCGGGTCAAAACTGCCCCTGGTTGAGACTCACTGGCTGGAGCCAAAAGGCTGAGCTGCCTGCCCAACAGCAGCAGGGAAGGACATCTGATCCAGGCAGACTAGACCACCTGGGATGAACAGACAATCCTCAGAAGAACGATCGATTAGTGATGTCTGCTTCAGGCACCAGAAGCGGGCAGCGTGGTCCACATGCTCTACTTTTGCTGACTCTGTTCTGGATCCACCGTTTGGCCTCCCATCAGCCTAGGATCATGGAAAGGCCGCTCTAGGCTCAGAGTAAAGCAAGAGGGAGGCCGAGCCTAGCGCCCCCGTACCTTGCAGCCGCCGGCTCAGCTCCTTGGTGAAGAGGACGATGGCGAGCTTGCTCTGGCAGTAGGCGGCTTTGGTGTTATACTTCCTCGTCTGCCAGTTCAAGTCGTCAAAGTCTATGTGCCCAGCAACATGGGCCAGGGACGAGAGGTTGATGATCCGCGAAGGGGCTGAGGCTTTCAGCTTGTCCAGCAGCAAGTTTGTCAAGAGAAAGTGACCTGGATTAAGGATGATGAAAAGGTCACTTTTGACTCACACCTAAAATCCCAGCACTTTGGGAGGACGACGGGGGAGGATCGCTTGAACCCATGGTGCAGCCCCTGCCCAGGCCTCACCCAGGTGGTTAACGCCAAACTGCATCTCGAAGCCGTCCTCGGTGGTCCAGTGGGGGCACCGCATCACACCCGCGTTGTTGATTAGAATGTCCACTCGCTCCTCCTCTGGAAGAGAGGGGTGGAGGAGGAGACATCCCGGTGAGGACAGACCCCAGCCTGATGCACCAGCAGAAACACTCCTGTGCTCCCACAACCTGTGAATGTGGCCTGTGCCGGAAACAGGGTCTGTGCCGAAGTGGCCATGTCAGGATGCGGTCATTAGGGTGAGCCCTAATCCAATGACTGGTGTCCTTATAGGAAGGGAAAACAGAGACAGAGACACATGGGGAGAAGGCCATGTGTGGACAGAGGCAAAGACCGGAGAGGCACAGCTCCAAGGTGAGGGTGGGCCGCCCCCGCTGGAAGTGGAAGAGGCTGGGAGGATTATGGCCCGTCTCACAGGTCACAGCCACAGGGACACCGCGATTCAGACTGCCGGCTTCCGGAACCGTGAGGGAATGCACGTCTGAGGGTGTAAGCCACTGGGTTTGCAGTACATTGTTACAGCAGCTCCAGGACACTCACACGCCCTCCGCACCTCCATCTAAGCCTTGGGACTCCTTCCTGCCGGAGCCCCGAGGCCAAAAACGGGAGGTTACCGGTGGGAGCCCCGGCACCGCAGGCGTGGTTTCATTCCCAAACCTGCCACCTCACTCATACAAGCAACCAAAGGACACACAGATGGAGACTGCAGCCTCAGTTTCCTCAGCTGTAAAATGCGCTGAACCACAGGGCCTTCCTCCCTGTACCACTCAGCTCGGGTTCCGTAACAAAGTGCCACAGACAGGTGGTTTAAAACCTCACAGACCTGGCCGGGCACAGTGGCTCACGCCTGTAATCCCAGCACTTTGGGAGGCCGAGGTGGGCAGATCACCTGAGGTCAGGAGTTTGAGACCAGCCTGGCCAACATGGAGAAACCGCGTCTTTACTAAAAATACAAAATTAGCCAGGCGTGGTGGCATGCACCTGTAATCCCAGCTACTCAGGAGGCTGAGGCGGGAAAATCGCTTGAAACCAGGAGGCAGAGGGTGCAGTGAGCCGAGATCGCATCATTACACTCCATCCTGGGCAATAAAAGCAAAACTCCATCTCAAAAAAAAAAAAAAAAATCACAGTCCCAGAGGCTGGAAGTCCCAGATCAAGGTGTGGGCAGGGCTGGTTCCCTCTCAGGGCCCTCAGGGAGGATCCGCTCTGGTCTCTCTCCTTGGCTCACAGGTGACCATCTCCTCTCTCCCTCTTCCCTTCCTCTTCCCTTTGGAGCTGTCTCTTTTTTTTTTTTCATTTTTCCTTTTTTAATTTTAGATTTTTCAGACATGGTCTCACTATGTTGCCCAGGCTGGTCTCAAACTCTTGAACTCAAGCAATCCTCCTGCTTTGGCCTCCCAGAGTGCTGCAATTTCACTGCCCCCAGCCTATTTTTTTTTTTTTGGGGGGGGGAGATGGAGTTTCACTCTTGTCACCCAGGCTGGAGTGCAATGGTGCGATCTTGGCTCACTGCAACCTCTGCCTCCCAGGTTCAAACAATTCTCCTGCCTCAGCCTCCCAAGTAGCTGGACTACAGGCATCCACCACCACACCGGGTTAATTTTTTGTATCTTTAGTAGAGACGGGGCTTCACCATGTTGGCCAGGCTAGTCTCACACTCCTGACCTCGTGATCCACCTACCTCAGCCTCCCAAAGTGCTGGGACTGCAGGCGTGAGCCACCACACTCAGTCTACTTGGCCTATTTTTTATATTTCTTTGAGACAGGGTCTCCCTCTGACACCTGGGCTGGAGTACAGTGGCGCAATCACTGCTCACTGCAGCCTCAACCTCCCAGGCTCAAGCAGTCTTCTTGCTCAGCCTCCCAAGTAGCTGGGGCCACAGGCATGCGCCACCATGCCCAGCTAGCACGTCTGTTTCTGTGCGCAAATCTCCCCTTTTCATAAGGACACCAGTCACTGGATTAGGGCCCACCCTAATGACCTCATTTTCACTTCAGGACCTCTGTAAACACCCACCTCTAAATGAAGTCACATGCTGAGGGATGGGGGTTCAGGATCCCAACCTATCCTTGGGGGTGGAGGACACAATGGAATTCATAATGCTCCCGAAGTGGTTTTCGGCGGGGATCGTGAATTAGGTGTCCAGCGCGTAACACACAGACACCATCTGGTTCTCTGTGTGAGAAGGAGGGGGTTGCAGCACACCCGTCATGAATACCAGCTCTGGAGCAGGACAGACAGGTTCAAAGCCTGGCTCCACCCCGACCAGCTGCATGATCCTGGCCAAGTCACATCACTTCTCTGTGACTCAGTTTACTCCTTGTAAAAAAAAAAAAAAAAAAAGGATAATAACATCACCTGCCTGGTACAACTGTATACTTACTCATTCAGTAAGTATTTTCTAAGCACCTATTACTGGGCACTGGAAATACAGGGTGGACAGCACAGCCGAGGCCCCGTCCGTGTGGACCGGACATTCCAGTGCAGCTGAGAGCCACTTCCACTCGTGAGAGAATCTACCCGTGACAGAGCTGCGTGGAAGCTGACAGGAGGCCCCTCTCAGGAGGTGACGCAGAAACTGGGACCGGGAAAATGAGGCAGGGCCCACGTGCGGAGACCCAGGGAAGGGGGATGCAGGCAGCAGGCGCAGCACGGGTAAGGCCCAAAGGCGGGACAGGGAGACTCCACTCACAGCTGGGCGCCCAGGAGTGCCGCCAGCTTCTGGTGTTTTGTTTTGGTTTTTTTTCTTTTTTTTTTTGAGATGAAGTCTCACTCTGCCACCCAGGCTGGAGTGCAGTGGTGTGATCTTGGCCCATGGCCCACTGCAACCTCTACCGCCTGGGTTCAGGCGATTCTGCTGCCTCAGCCTCCCGAGTACTGGGATTACAGGTGCCCGCCACCGCACCCTGCTAATTTTTGCATTTTTAGTAGAGACGGGGTTTCACCATCTTGGTCAGGCTGGTCTTGAATTCTTCACCTCGTGATCCACCCGCCTCTGCCTCCCAAAGTGCAGGGATTACAGGTGTGAGCCACCGCGCCCAGCCTGTTTTTTTTTTTTTCTTTTTATGAGAGGGAAGCTCACTCAGTGGCCCAGGCTGGAGTGCAGTGGCGCGATCTCAGCTCACAGCAACCTCCGCCGCCAGGGCTCAAACGATCCTCCCACCTCAGCCTTCCACATAGCTGAACCACAGGCGCCCGACACCACAAGCAGCTACTTTTAAAATTTTTTGTAGAAATGGGGTTTGGCTATGTTGCTTAGGCTGGTCTCGAATTTCTGAGCTTAGGCAATTCGCCCACCTCGGCCTCCCAAAGTGCTGGGATTGCAGGCGTGGGCCACAGTGCCTGGCCTGTTGTTTTGTTTATCTGGGAACTGCCTCAACTTTTTTTTTTTTTTTTTTTTTTTGGACACAGGGTCTCACCCCGAGTGCAGTGGTACAATCAAAGCTCACTGCAGGCCGGGCGTGGTGGCTCACATCTGTAATCCCAGCACTTTGGGAGGCCGAGGCGGGCAGATCACCTGAGGTCAACCAGCCTGACCAACATGGTGAAACCCTGTCTCTACCTAAAACAAAAAAGTAGCCGGGCATGGTGGCAGGTGCCTGTAATCCCAGCTACTCAGGAGGCTGAGGCAGGAGAATTATTTGAAACCAGGAGATGGAGGTTGCAGCCTGACCAACAGGAAGAAACCCCGTCTCTACTAAAAATACAAAATTAGCCGGGCGTGGTGGCGCATGCCTGTAATCCCAGCTACTCGGGAGGCTGAGGCAGGAGAATCACTTGAACCCAGGAGGTGGAGGATGCCGTGAGCCAAGATCCCGTCATTGCACCAGCCTGGGCAACAAGAGCAAAACTCCGTCTTAAAAAAAAAAAAAAAAAATCCCTCACTGCAGCCTCAACCTCCCAGGCTCAAGCAATCCTCCCACCTCCACCTCCCAAGTAGTTGGGACTACAAGTGCACACCATCACGCCTGCCTCATTGTTTTTTATTTTTTTTTTGAGATGGAGTCTCACTCTGTCACCCAGGCTGGAGTGCAGTGGCGCCATCTCGGCTCACTGCAAGCTCCACCTCCCGGGTTCACGCCATTCTCCTGCCTCAGCCTCCCAAGTAGCTGGGTTACAGGTGCCCGCCACCACGCCCGGCTAATTTTTTTGTGTTTCTTAGTAGACACGGGGTTTCACCGTGTTGGCCAGGATGGTCTCGATCTCCTGACCTTGTGATCCGCCCGCCTCAGCCTCCCAAAGTGCTGGGATTACAGGCGTGAGCCTGCACGCCTGCCTGATTGTTTTGTATTTTTTGTAGAGATGAGGTCTTGCTATGTTGCCCAGGCTGATCTCAAACTCCCTGATAAACAAGGCTGTGGGTACCTGCTTCCTGGGGCTCTTTGCTTTGTGTTCTTTCTAGTCGGGAGCTGGGAAGAGCCACAGCTTCCAGCTTTGTCAGAGTGTCATCTCACAAACTGATCTTCCCAAAACTTCTGTCTCCCAAAGTGCCGGGATGACAGGCGTGAACCGCTGCACCTGGCCTGCCCCAGTGTGGTAGAATACACACCACATAAAATGGACGATCTTCACTATTTTTAAATCCACTGCTGTCTTTATTCCTGGCTGTTGATCTTAGGAAAACACCAAGAAGCTGGTACTTGATTTGCTAAAAAAGTCACAGACACAGCTTTACTTAATCCTCTAGAGAGGCTGGGCGTGGTGGCTCATGCCTGTAATCCCAGCACTTTGGGAGGCCGAGGTGGCTGGATCATGAGGTCAGGAGATCGAGACCATCCTGGCTAACACGGTGAAACCCCGTCTCTAGTAAAAAATATAAAAAATTAGCCGGGCGTGGTGGCAGGCGCCTGTAGTCCCCCGCCACTCGGGAGGCTGAGGCAGGAGAATGGCATGAACCCGGGAGGCGGAGCTTGGAGTGAGCCGAGATGTGCCACTGTCCTCCAGCCTGGGCGACAAAGCAAGATACCGTCTCAGAAAAAAAAAAAAACCCCTCTAGAGAATCCCAGAAAATAGAAGGAATTATTCCATTTCCCGGAAGAGGAACGTGTGGCTAAGAGAGGAGGCATCACCTGCCCAGGTGTGTCCAGCCGGGGTCCTCACTGTCTCAGGGACCTCAGTGCTCCGGACACCTGTGTCCACAAGCCAGAGACAGGATCAGAGGCGCCCTGGGTGGGATTGCCTGGGACAGTGTGCATGAAGGTGACAGTGCTGTACCTGGTACACAGCAGGTGCTTAATAAATGTTCATCCACCTCTGAGACTCTGAGGCATTGCCCTCTCACTGTTCTTTGTGATCTCACCGTAGTGCCTCTCACCTACCCGACAACAGTGCCGGCTCTTTCTTGATCCCCAAGGGCACAGCAGGGGCTCAGTATGAATGAATGAATGAACCAACGAATGTGCACCTGCACCTGCCTCCCTAGGGCTGTGAGTGGCACAAGGACAGCTCTGGTTCATCTCACACCTCCAGCACCTGGTCAGGTCTGAGATCACGTCTGCTAAATAAATGAGGTCCCACAACTCCCCCATTCCTTGTTCATTTCCTGAGTACCCGTTTACTGAGCGGGGCACATTGACTCTGAAGAAGAAAGCTTTGGCCCTTTCAGTGCCAGACTAGAAAAGAAACAAAGCAGCTGGGCATGGTGGCTCATGCCTGTAATCCCAGCACTTTGGGAGGCTGAGGCAGGCGGATCACAAGGTCAGGAATTCGAGACCAGCCTGGCCAACATAGTGAAACCCCGTCTCTACTAAAAATACAAAAATTAGCCGGGCATGGTGGCACCCGCCTATAGTCTTGGGAGGCTGAGGCAGGAGAATCGCTTGAACCCAGGAGGCGGAGGCTGCAGTGAGCCAAGATCGCATCATTGCACTCCAGCCTGGGTGACAGAGCAAGACTCCATCTCAAAAAAAAGGTCTTGCTCTGTCATCCAGGTTAGAGTGCAGTGGCACAAATACGGCTCACTGCAGCCTTGAACTCTCGGGCTCAAGTGATCCTCTTGCCTCAGCCTCCTGAGTAGCTGGGACTGTAGGCACATGCCAGGATGCCCGGCTAATTTTTTTTTTTTTTTAATCTTTGGTACACACAAGGTCTCACTATGCTTCCTAGGCTGGTCTCTAACTCCTGAGCTCAAGCAATCCTAAGAGAAGAGATTTTAAATGTGGTCACCACAAAAACAGGTAAGTATTTGAGGTAATGCATATGTTAATTAGCTTGATTTAGCCATTCTACAATGTATACAATGTACATCATGCTGTACATAATATATACAAGTATACATGTCAACTAAACAATAAATAATTTTAGTGTATTCTTGAGTCTATTTAAAGATGAACAAGAATAGAAAAGCTAGAGGATGGTCCCAGTTTTACATAAAAATATATAAATACACACACAAACCTATTATAAACAAGACTAGAAAGATCCATAAAAGTGATTCTCCTGGGGCTGGTGCAGATCAAAGTTGTTTAGTTCTGTCTTCTTTTTTATTGAGACAGAGTCTCACTCTGTCACCCAGGCTGGAGTGCACTGGCACAATCTCAGCTCACTGCAACCTCCGCCTCCTGGGTTCAAGCAATTCTCCTGCCTCAGCACCCTGAGTAGCTGAGATTACAGGTGTGCACCACCACGCCTGGCTAATTTTTGTATTTTTAGTAGAGACAGGGTTTCACCATGTTGGCCAGGCTGGTCTCGAACTCCTGACCTCAAGGGATCCACCTGCCTCAGCCTCCCAAAGTGCTGGGATTAACAGGCGTGAGCCACTGTGCCCAGCCAGTTCTGTCTTCTTTACATTGCAGTATTTTATAAATGTCCCATAACAAACACATATTTCTTTAACCATGGTGGGGAAGGCACTTGATCAATAAATGCTTAATAAGGTCAGGTGCGGTGGCTCACGCCTGTAATCCCAGCACTGTGGGAAGCTGACCTGGGTGGATCACTTGAGCCCAGGAGTTGGAGACCAGCCTGAGCAACATGGTGAAACCCCAGCTCTAAAAACAAAACAAAACAATAAAACAATAATTAGCTGTGTGTGGTGGCGTATGCCTGTACTCCCAGCTACTTGGGAGGCTGAAGTGGGAGGATCCCTTGAGCCCAGCAGGTTGAGACTGCAGTGAGCCATGACTGCACCACTGCACTCTAGCCTGGGTGACAGAGATGGATCCTGTCTCAAACAAACTAATTATTCAGGTAGGGCACGGTGGCTCACACCTGTAATCCCAGCACTTTGGGAGGCCAAGGGAAGCAGATCACCTGAGGTCAGGAGTTCGAGACCAGCCTGACCAACATGGTGAAACCCTGTCTCTACCTAAAACACAAAAAATTAGCCAGGCACGGTGGCGGGTGCCTGTAATCCCAGCTACTCAGGAGGCTGAAGCAGGAGAATCATTTGAAATCGGGAGACGGAGGTTGCAGTGAGGCAAGATCACACCACTGCACTCCAGCCTGGGCAACAGAGCGAGACCCCATCTGTCTCAAAACAAACAAACAAAACAAAGTCAGCCGGGCGCAGTGGCCCACGCCTGTAATCCCAGCACTCTGGGAGGCTGAGGCAGGAGAATCACCTGAGGTCAGGAGTTCCAGACCAGCCTGGCCAACGTGGTGAAACCCCGTCTCTACTAAAAATACAAAAATTAGCAGGGTATGGTAGCAGGCATCTTAATCCCAGCTACTCAGGAGGCTGAGGTCCGCGCTTGAACCCAGGAGGCAGAGGTTACAGTGAGCCGAGATCGCGCCATTGCACTCAGCCTGGCCGACAGAGTGAGACTCCCTCTCAAAATAACAGTAGTAATAAATAAATAAAGTCGTTGCTTGCAGGCTGTACAAAAAAAGGCAGCAACTGGACTTGGCCCCTAACTCATAGTTTGCCAAAACTCTGCTCTAAAGTTTGCTTGCTTCATTCACTTCTCAGAGCCTGGCCCTGGGAGCCGCCTATCCCAGTCCTCATCCCACATGGCCAGCGTTCTCCTACCTTCAATGATCTTTGCTGCAAACTCTCGGATAGACTTGAGGGAAGCCAAGTCCAGGTGCCGGGCGTTGACATGGTGATTGAGGGTCTCCCCGCGGATGTCCTTTGCTGCCGCCTCACACTTCTCCATGTCTCGGCAGGCCAGGATGATGTTGCCTCCTGAAAACCCAGGATGGAAAAAGATTTAAATTAATAATCCACTCCTGGGTACTGACCCCAGAGACATGAAAACATACGTCTACACAAAAACACATCCACCAATGTTCACTGCGGCATTCTTCACAAAAGCCAAAAGGTAGAAACAACCAAATGCCCATCTGTGGATGAAGGGACAACAAAATGTGGTCCATCCATAGAGATGGAATATTAGACGGCCGTGAAAAGGAGTGAAGCACTGGCTCATGCTACAGCAAGGATGACCGTCAGAAACACTGTGCTCGGGGAAAGAAACCAGACACGAAAGACCACACAGCGTACAATCCCATTTACATGAATTCTATGTATATGATTTCACACCTATGAAACGCCCAGAATAGGCAAATCCATAGAGAAAGAAAATAGATTCTTGGTTTTCTAGGGCAGGGGGTGGGGAGAGGGAATTACAGCTTGATAGTTACAGTGAGCAGGTTTCTTTCTAGGGTAACAGATGTTCTAAGATTGATTTTAAAGATGGTTGCATCATTCTGTGACTATACTAAACATCACTGAATTGGTCGGGCACGGTGGCTCACACCTGTAATTCCAGCACTTTGGGAGGCCAAGGCAAGAGGATTCCCCATCCTCTCCTTTTTTTTTTTTTTTTAGATGGAGTCTCACTCTGTCACCCAGGCTGGAGTGCGGTGGCGCAATCTCGGCTCACTGCAACCTCCACCTCCTGGGTTCAAGCAATTCTCCTGCCTCAGCCTCCCGAGTAGCTGGGATTACAGGCACCTACCACAACTAGCTAATTTTTTATTTTTTTATTTTTAGTAGAGACAGCGGTTTCACCATGTTAGCCAAGCTAGTCTTGAACTTCTGACCTCAGGTGATCCACCCCGCGGCCTCCCAAAGTACTGGGATTACAAATAAGCCACAATGCCCAGCCTCCAATTTTTTTTGTTGTGGTAAAATACAAATCACTTAAAATTTATCATCTTAACCCCCTTTTCTTTTTGTTTATTATTATTTTTTTTTTTTTGAGTCAGTCTCACTCTGCTGCCGCGGCTGGAGTGCTGGCGCCATCACAGCTCATTCAGCCTTGAACTCCTAGGCTCAAGTGACCTGGGACTATAGGTACCACCTGTGCCAGCATGCCTGGCTAACTCTGGTAGAGATGGGGGTGTTGCTATGGTGTCCAGGCTGGTCTGGAACCCCTGGCCTCAAGTGATCCTCCTGCCTCAGCCTCCAAAAGTGCTGGAATTATAGATGTGAGCCACCGAGACCCGCCCTCTTAGCCATTTTTAAGTGTCCAGTTCATTGGTATTAAAAACATTTATGGCTGGGCCGGGCATGGTGGCTCACACCTGTAATCCCAGCACTTTGGGAGACCAAGGCAGGTGGATCACCTGAGGTCAGGAGTTCAAGACCAGCCTGGCCAACACATTACAAACTTAGCTGGGTGTGGTGTTGCATGCCTGTAATCCCAGCTACTCGGGTGGCTGAGGCAGGAGAATTGCTTGAACCCGGGAGGCGAAGGTTGCAGTGAGCCAAGATCATGCCACTGCACTCCAGCCTGGGCGACAAGAGCAAAACTCCATCTCAAAAAAAAAAAAACAATAATAATAATTCCTAATGTTGTGCAACCATTACAACCATCCATCTCTCAAATTGTTTCATCTTGCCAAACTAAACTTCCGTTTCCATTAAACAGTAACTCCCCATTCTCCCCTCCCCTCCTGACCCCTGGCAAGCACCATTCCAACTTCTCTATGAATTTAACTGTAGGTAGCTCCTGTAAGTGGAATCATACCGTATTTGCTCTTCTGTCGACTGGCTTATTTCACTTCATGGAATGTCCTCAAGGTTCATCTGTTTCAATGCCCTTTTTTTTGTTTTGCTTTGTTTTGTTTTGTTTTTGAGTCTCACTCTGTCACCCAGGCTGGAGTGCCGTGGCGCCATCTCTGCTCACTGCAACCCCTGCCTCTCAGGTTCAAGCGATTCTCCTGCTTCAGCCTCCCAAGCAGCTGGGACTACAGGTGCCCACCACAACTCCTGGCTAATTTTTGTATTTTTAGTAGAGAGGGGGTTTCACCATGTTGGTTAGGCTGGTCTCGAACTCCTGACCTCGTGATCCGCCAGCTTTGGCCTCCCAAAGTACTGATTACAGGCGTGCACCACCGCGCCCGGCCAGAATGCCCTTCCTTTTTAAGGCTGAATCATATGCCCCTGTCTATAGAAGCCACATTCTGTTTCCCTGTTCATCTGTGGATGGGTGCCTGGGTTCCTTCCACCTCCGGACTGTGAATAATGCTGCAGTGAGCATGGATGTACAGATATCTCTCTGAGAGCCAAAGCAGGGGAGATTTTACCTCTCCTGGCCAGTTCCAAGGCGGTCTGCTTCCCGATGCCTGTGTTGGCACCCGTCACGATGACCGTCTTCCCAGGGATGGTGGCCTTGCTGGGGCAAGCCCCACCGGTGACATAGTCCCTGAGGGTGAGAAGCGGCACGGTCAGTCCTGTGGGCCCACTCTCACCCCACGTGCCCCTGACTGAATGATCTCAGGCAACCTTGTCTGAGCTCACTCACATACCCCAACTGAAACACAGACATCATCACATCACACCAAGGGACCTCTGTCATGTTCTCCATAAGTGGCTCCACCCAGTGTCTGGCGTGTGGAACGCCTTCAGCAAGTGACAGTCATTATTTTATAAATGCTCACTGCATGAGATTCCCGGCCAGGTGAGGGGGCTTGCACCTGTAATCCCAGCACTTTGGGAGGCCAAAGTTTTGGGGGTGGGGGGGGGCGGGGGCGGATCACTTGAGGTCAGGAGTTCGAGTCCAGCCTGGCAAACATGGCGAGACCCCGTCTCTACTTAAAATACAAAAATTAGCCAGATGTGTAGGGAAAAGAGAGATTAGACTGTTACTGTGTCTATATAGAAAGGAAAGACATAAGAGACTCCATTTTGAAAAAGACCTGTACTTTGAACAATTGCTTTGCTGAGATGTTGTTAATTTGTAGCTTTGACCCAGCCACTTTGACCCAATCTGGAGCTCACAAAAACCTGTGTTGTATGAAATCAAGGTTTAAGGGATCTAGGGCTGTGCAGGAAGTGCCTTGTTAACACAATGTTTCCAAGCAGTATACTTGGTAAAAGTCATCGCCAGTCTCTAGTCTCAATAAACCAGGGGCACGATGCACTGCAGAAAGCTGCAGGGACCTCTGCCCTTGAACACAGAGTATTGTCCAAGGTTTCTCCCCGTGGGATAGTCTGAAATATGGCCTCGTGGGATGAGAAAGACCTGACCGTCCCCCAGCCCAACACCCGTAAAGGGTCTGTGCTGAGGTGGATTGGTAAAAGAGGAAAGCCTCTTGCAGTTGAGAGAGAGGAAGGCCACTGTCTCCTGCCTGACCCTGGGAACTGAATGTCTCGGTATAAAACCTGATTGTACATTTGTTCAATTCTGAGACAGGAGAAAAGCCGCCCTATGGCGGGAGGCGAGACATGTTTACAGCAATGCTGCCTTGTTATTCTTTACTCCGCTGAGATGTTTGGGTGGAGAGAAACATCAATCTGGCCTACGTGCACGTCCAGGCATAGTACCTTCCCTTGAACTTAATTATGTCATAGATTCTTTTGCTCACATGGTTTTTGCTGACCTCATTATCACCCTGCTCTCCTACTACATTCCTTTTTGCTGAAATAATGAAGATAATAATCAGTAAAAACTGAGGGAACTCAGAGGCCGGTGCCGGTGCAGGTCCTTGGTATGCTGAGCGCCGGTCCCCTGGGCCCACTGTTGTTTCTCTATACTTTGTGTCTTATTTCTTTTCTCAGTCTCTCGTCCCACCCAACTAGAAATACCCACAGGTGTGGAGGGGCAGGCCACCCCTTCACAGGCGTGGTGGTGCACACCTGTAATCTCAGCTACTCAGGGGGCTGAGGCACGAGAATTGCTTGAACCTGGAAGGCGGAGGTTGCAGTGAGTCGAAATGGTGCCAGCCTGGGCAACAGAGCGAGACTCTGTCTCAAAAAAATTTAAATTTAAATTTAAAATGCCCGCTGCACGAGATTCCCAAGGCTGCTGTACGCATTACCACAGACTTAGTGGCTTAAAACCACATAAGTGCATCCTCCTCCAGTTCGGCAGGTCAAGAGTCCAAAACATGTCTCACTGGAATAAATCAAGGTATTGGTAGAGTCAGGTTCCTTCTGGAGGCTCTAGGGAAGAATCCACTTCCAGCTCCTACAGACCGCCACATTCCTCCACTCTTGGCCCCGCCTCCATCTTCAACCTGCATCCTCACTGGAACCTCTCCTTTATTTATTTATTTATTTACTTATTTATTTTTGAGACAGAGTCTCGCTCTGTCGCCCAGGCTGGAGTGCAGTGGCTCAATCTCAGCTCACTGTAACCTTCGCCTCACAGGTTCAAGCGATTCTCCTGCCTTAGCCTCCTGAGTGGCTGGGATTACAGGCACATGCCACCACACCTGGCTAATTTCTTTTGTATTTTTAGTAGAGACAGAGTTTTACCACGTTGGTCAGGCTGGTCTCGAACTCCTGACCTTGTGATCCGCCTGCCTTGGCCTCCCAAAGTGCTGCGATTACAGGCGTGAGCCACCACACCCAACAACCTCTCCTTCTATCTTCCATCTCCCCTCTGACTGAGCCTCCTGCTCCCTCTTATAAGGACCCTATAAGACTACAAGGCAGGACCGGCACAGTGCCTCACACCTGTAATCCCAGCACTTTGGGAGGCCAAGACAGGAGGATCACTTGAGGTCAGGAGTTCGAGACCAGCCATGGCCAACATGCTGACACCCCATCTCTACTAAAAATACAAAAATTAGCAGGGCTTGGTGGTGCACGCCTGTAGAGTCAGCTACTCGGGAGGCTGAAGTGGGAGGACCACCTGAGCCCAGGGAGGGTGAGGCTGCAGTGAGCTGTGACAGCATGACTGCACTCCAGCCTGGGTGACAGAGAGACCCTGTCTCCAAAAAAAAAAAAAGACTACATGATAATCATAAGATCCTTCACTTGGCCGGGCACGGTGGCTCACGCCTGTAACCCCAGCACTTTGGGAGGCCAAGGTGGCCAGATCCCCTTTGGTCGGGAGCTCAAGACCAGCCTGACCAACATGGAGAAACCTCGTCTCTACTAAAAATACAAAATTAGACAGGCGTGGTGGCACATGCCTGTAATCCCAGCTACTCAGGAGGCTGAGGCCGGACAATCGCTTGAACCCGGGAGGTGGAGGTTGTGGTGAGCCGAGGTCGTGCCATTGCACTCCAGCCTGGGCAACAACAGCGAAACTCTGTCTCAAAAAAAAAAAAGATGCTTCACTTAACACATCAGCGAGAACCTCTGACACGTGAGGTAATGTCGTCACACCTTCCGAGGATTAGGACGTGGACCCCTCTACGGAGTCACGACTCTGCCCACCACACCCATGTCCCACAGAGGCTAACGCTGGCAACAAGATAGTGTCCAGCAACAGGAGGCTGAGCAGGTAAACAGCACTGCACCCACAGGAGAGAAGGGCACCATGCAATACAGTGGCCACCAGCCACAGAGGCTAATTTTTAAGAAAGTTTAAATTAAGTAGGCTGGGCGAGGTGGCTCACGTCTGTAATCCCAGCACTTTGGAGGCCGAGGCAGGCGGATCACCTGAGGGCAGGTGTTTGAGACCAGCCTGGCCAACATGGCAAAACCCCGTCTCTGCGAAAAATACAAAAATTAGCCGGGCGTGGTGGCGCACGTGTGATCTCAGCTCCTGGGGACGCCAAGGTGGGAGGATCACCTGAGCCCAGGAGGTCAAGGCTGCAGTGAGCCAAGATCGCGCCACTGCACTCCAGCCTGGGCGACAGAGCCAGATTCTGCCTTTAAAAATAAACGAACAAATAAATAATACAAAACAACAAAATAAAGAGTTTAAAAGTCTGGAAGGAAAGCAACATTTACAAGGGCCCAGGCTCGCCCTTCCCTCCGAGTGACCTTGGGCCGGTGACCTGGCCGGCCAGAGCGCAGGTTTGCCCCACTCCGGGCGGGCACTGCGGGTCGGGAGCTACGGGGCCTGGACCCGGGTGCGAGGGGCGGGGGTCTCCGCCGCCTTCCCGGCCCCTGCGCTGGGGGCCCGCCTTGACCGCGCACGCGGGGCTAGAATGTACTCACTTGAGCAGCACGGCGGCGCCTGCTACCGTGCCCAGCGCCGACAGCGGCAGCAGGTAGCGGCTCATGCCGGGCCGGGGACAGGCGTCAGGCGTCAGGGGTCGGCGCGGAGCTTGCTGCACACCAGCCGCCTGGGTAGCTCCGAGGAAGAGCGCGCGACGCAGCCACAGGCGAGCGGAGGCGCAGGCGCGGCTGGGCCCGCGTCCGGAACTGGGCTGCGAGGGGCGGGGCGCGGGCGGAGGGGGCGGGGATCCTAGGGACGGGACCTATGAGCATCGGTCCTGAGCGCTGTCACAGCTGGGATTGGTGGTTTCAGGAGCCTGTGGGCGTGGCTAGTCCGGGGGCGGGGCCTATGGTTTGTTCGAATGACGTCACACTTGCCGCAGCGTATAAGGCGCTACGCAGTTCTGGAGTGAAATAGGTTCGAATCCCACCACTGTCAATTCCAGACTGTGACCCTCTGTGTGTCTTTCAACTATATCAGCCTATTCCCTCATCTGGAAATGTGTGTTTACCTTCTTCATAGACTTTTGGAGATAATTTGAGAATTTCCATGCACAGAAACAAGGATCTAGTAGCCTGTGGGTACCCAAGCTCCTGGGGTCCTGCAGGAGAAGGCGGCTGGGGGCCTGGACTCCTGGGTCTGAGGGAGGAGGGGCTGGGGGCCTGGACTCCTGGGTCCAAGGGAGGAGGGGCTGGGAGCATGGACTTCTGGGTCCGAGGGAGGAGGGCCGGGTGCCTGGACTGCTGAGTCTGAGGGAGGAGGGGCTGGGGGCCTGATTCATTCCCAAATTATCAGAATCTCATCCCCATGTCTGGCCCTGCACAGAGATATCTTCCCTGAACTCTGCCTGAACTACCTTTCTTAGATTGAGTATTGCACACACTCCTGCACTTACCTGTCCATGTTTGTCACCCCCACCAAACCGGGATGCACCTCTGGGCACCTGCTTCCCCTTGCACTGCTCACAGCGAGTGTATCTGATCACCACCTCCTACCCCTGACTGTGCCTGAGGTGCCAGGAGCAGACACCGCTGGAAACAGGGAAGAATTCAACCCAATCTAACTAGGAGTAAGTTTTCTTCCTCATCAGATGAACTGTCATCTTCTTATATGAGCCCTGCCATAATGGAGATTATACAGGCAGGAAGAGCTATTTTAAGACCTTAGTCAATGGCCGGGCACGGTGGCTCACGCCTGTAATCCCAGCACTTTGGGAGGCCGAGACAGATGGATCACGAGGTCAGGAGATTGATACCAGCCTGGCCAACATGGTGAAACCCTGTCTCTACTAAAAATACAAAAATTAGCTGGATGTGGTGGCACTCACCTGTAGTCCCAGCTACTCAGGAGGCCGAAGCAGGAGCATCACTTGAACTCGGGAGGTGGAGGTTGCAGTGAGCCGAGATTGCCCTACTGCATTCCAGCCTGGCGACAGAGTGAAATTCTGTCAAAAAAAAAAAAACCTTAGGCCTGTAGACCTTAAGCTCTCACCATCTCAAACGTATTAAACCAGTTACACAATGCCAAATGCTGTATAAGAGGCACTTGGAGGAGTCAAATTCATAGAGACAGAAAACAGAGTGGTGGCTGCAGGGGGCTGGAGATGAGATTGGGAAGTCACAGGATTTGTTTTTGTTTGTTTGTTTGTTTTGTTTTGTTTTTTGAGAGACAGTCTCACTGTGTCACCCAGGCTGGAGAGCAGTGGGCGATCTCAGCTCACTGCAACCTCTGCCTCCTAGGTTCAAGCGATTCTCCTGCCTCAGCCTCCCGAGTAGCTGGGGCTACAGGCACGTGTCACCACACCCGGCTAATTTTTGTATTTTTAGTAGAGACGGGGTTTCACCATGTTGGCCAGGTTGGTCTCAAACTCCTGACCTCAGGTGATCCACCTGCCTCGGCCACCCAAAGTGCTGGGATTACAGGCATGAGCCACCGCACCCGGCCGGGAAGCTGTTTTTTAATAGATACAGAGTTTGTTTTGCAAAATAAAAAAAAGACCTGAAGGTGGACGGTGGTGATGGTTGCACAACAATGTGAATATACTTAACATCACTGAATTGTACACTTAAAATGGTTAAGATGGTACATTTTACTTTATGCATAGTTTACCAAACTAAAAATAAAGAAAAATTTTAGACTGGGCATGGTGGCTCATGCCTGTAATCCCAGCACTTTGGGAGGCCAAAGTGGAGAATAGTATGAGCCCAGGAGTTTGAGAGCGGCCTGGACAACACGGCAAAACCTTATCTCTACAAAAAATACAAAAATTAGCAGGTTTGGTGGCACGCATCTGCACCCTCAGCTACTTGGGAGGCTGAGGTGGGAGGTCTGCTTGAGCCCAGGAGGTCAAGGCTATGATGAGCTGTGATTGTGCCACTGCACCCCAGGCTGGGTGACAGAGCAAGACCCCATCTCAAAAATAATAATAATAAATGTTTACATTTAATAACATGGGCAATTGGTTCAGATGTTCATTTTCTCAACCTTGAAAAAAAAACAACACTGTTTTTCCCTGTCTTTTTCTCCTTTTCTGTAAACTGAAATCCTAATATCATTGACTTCCAGGACAGAGATCAGCAAACTTTTTCTACAAACAGCCAGATAGTAAATAATTTCAGCTTTGTGATCCACACAGTGGCTGTTGCACCTCCTCTGCCAGAGGAGCTGGGAAGCAGCCACAGATGATGTGAAAACAAGTGAGCACAGCTGTGTTCCCATAAAACTTTATTTATAAAAATAAGCAGTGCGCCACAGTTCGCCAGCTCCTGTTTGAGAGTCTCTCTCCGATGCCCAGGCTGGAGCGCAGTGATGCAATCTCAGCTCACTGCAACCTCTGCCTCCTGGGTTCAAGCGATTCTCCTGCCTCAGCCTCATGAGTAGCTGGGATTACAGGCGCTCGCCGCCACACCTGGCTGATTTTTGTATTTTTAGTAGAGACGGGGTTTCACCATGTTGGCCAGGCTGGTTTTGAACTCCAGGCTTCAGGTGATCCACCTGCCTCAGCCTCCCAAAGTGCTGGGATTACAAAGCGTGAGCCACTGCGCCCAGCTACCTGTCATTGAATTTGGAAGGATGGCATGAAGTCATTCATAACAAGGACTTAATCCATAGTAAGTGCCAGAACATTGCTGGCTGTTAATATGGTTATTATAAAGAGAACAATGCATGCATATTCCTCCTCTGAGGATCTCCTACCTGATTCCCAGACACACCCAAGGGAGTTAGAACATCTGTTTGGACTCCAGGTGGGCTGTCCACGCCTTTACCATTTTCCTGGTTGTTAACATGTTCCTGATCAGCACTGGGTGCTGTCCCAGGTGCTGAGAGGATTCTCCCACAATGCCCTTTGCTTTCCCCATCAGAGGGTTTATGGCACCCAATTCTCATTCACATTCTGTCTCTCCTTTCTCGTTCTTCTCTATCTCTCCTCTCTCTGTCTCCTTTTCTCTTCCTCTCTCCCTCTCTGTCTTCTCTCCCTCTCTCTCCCTCTCTCTTCCTCTCTCTCTTCCTCTGTCCTCTTTTCTCTCTCTCTCTCCCTCTCTCTCACATCTCTCTTTCCCTTCCTTTCTCTTTCCTCTCTCTTCCTCTCTCCCTCTCCCTCCTTCTGTCTTCCTCTATCCCTCTCTTCCTCTTTTTTCTTCCTCTCTTCTTGTCTCTTTCTCTCCTCTCTCTCTCCCTCTTTCTCTTTCTCTCTCTCTTCCTCTCCCTTCCTCTTCCTCTCTCTCCTTCTTTCTTCCTCTCTCTCTTCTTGTGTGTGTCTCTCTCTCTCTGTTCTCTCTCTCCCTCTCCCCCCAACTCTCTTTCCCTACACACATCTTAAGAGGCCTCAGCAGTGTAAGGTAAGTTTAGCGACCCTGTGGCTGTGTAGAGATAAGCAAAGGGGGGCAAGGAGCTCCAGTGGTCCCAGACTCCAGCCATTTGAGTCTTTGCAGCCCAAGCACTGCCCCAGCTTCTTGACAGCCCCAGCCATCACCAAAGGGCACACAGATAAGCTGCCTCCACCAAGGCCTGTGCAGATGGTAGGTTTTTGAGTAAAATAGATATGATCCTTGTCTGAAGCCACTGAGTTTTAGAATAATTTGTTATATGGCCATAGTAACTGGAATGATTGCTGTAGGTTTATTTTATTTTATTCATCCTTGCTGCATGCAACACATGCATGGCTCAGTAACTAGAAGGAAAGAAGAGAAGAAGGGAGGGAGAGGCAGAGGGTGGACAGGAGAGGATGGTAGGAAGGAAAGACAGGAAAGGAGGGTGTTGGTGGCCTTGCCTGCAAGCTGAGCAGACACCACGCAAACAGGTGACCTCCCAGTTAAGATGGAGGGGACTCAGGGCTCAGGAGGGGCAGAAGGTCCCCGTGTCGGAGAGCTGGGCAAGCTTTCTGCAGGAAATGATGGGGATCACGGCCATGTGAGCCGGCAAGATTTCCCTCAGCCAGGGAGGAGACTCCGGGCTGTGGGAACAGCTTAAGCAGAAGGCATGGGACAGGAATGCATATGAGAGATATTGTGGGAGGAGGGAGGGCTGCCTGGGCTGGCATGCAGGGTATGGGAGGGGGTGGAAGGGCTGAGGCGGGAGCCATCAGTAAAAGGACCCAGAGCGCGGCTCCAATGCCATGGTAGGAAGCTTGGCGTTGACTCAGAGGGCGCTGGGTACCGCTGAAGAGTGTTGAGCCAAGGAGGGTCATGTCACGGGCAGATACATGTTTTAGAATTTCTTCTTTTCTGGCTGAGATGTAGAGTATGGACTGGAGAGAAGCACAGGGGACATAGGAAAGGTAGTTCTAGAAAGAGGGGCTGTCCCACCAGGGAAAGTCAACCAACTGTTCCCCAGTATCCATTCCTCCCTTCCAGCTCATGGCACTAAAGCCACTGATTGATTAGCTGGGTGCTATCAATCTCTCTCTCATCTCTCTCTCCCTCTTTCTCTCCCCCTCATCTGTGTCTTTTCTCTCTCTCATCTCTCTGTCTCCCTCTTTCTGTCCCCCTCCTCCGTGTCTCCTCTCTCTCTCTTCTCTGTCTCATATCTCTCTCATTGCTCTCTCCCTCTTTCTCTCCCCCTCCTGTGTCTCCTTCTCTCTCTCTCTTTCTCCCCCATCTCTCTTTCTCTCCCCCTTCCTCTCTTTCTCCTCTCACTCTTCCTGTTTCTCTCTTTCTCTTTCTTCCTCTCTTTCTCCCTGTCTCTCTCTTCCTCTTTTCCTTTGTCTCTCTCTCTCCCCCCAACTCTCTCTCCCTACACACATCTTGAGAGACCTCAGCAGTGTAAGATAAGTTTAGCTACTCCACGGCCTGGCACGGTAGCTCACGCCTTTAATCCCAGCACTTTGAGAGGCCAAGGCAGGCAGATCACTGGAGATTAGGGGTTTGAAACCAGCCTGGCCAACATGGTGAAACCCTGTCTCTACTACAAGTACCAAAAAATTAGCTGGGCATGGTGGCACGCGCCTGTAGTCCCAGCTACTCGGAAGGCTGAGGCAGGAGAATCGCTTGAGCCTGGGAGGCGGAAGTTGCAGTGAGCCGAGACCACACCTCTGCACTCCAGCCTGGGTGACAGAGTGAGATTCTGTCTCAAAAAAAGAAAGAGGAGGCCGGGCACTGTGGCTCAGGCCTGTAATCCCAGCACTTTGGGAGGCCGAGGCATGCAGATCACGAGGTCAGGAGATCGAGACCATCCTGGCTAACACAGTGAAACCCCGTCTCTATTAAAAATACAAAAAAATTAGCCAGGCACGGTGGCGGGTGCCTGTAGTCCCAGCTACTCGGGAGGCTGAGGCAGGAGAATGGCGTGAACCCGGGAGGCGGAGCTTGCAGTGAGCCGAGATCGCGCCACTGCACTCCAGCCTGGGCGACAGAGCAAGACTCTGTCAAGAAAGAAAGAAAAGAAAAGAAAAAAAGAAAAGAATAAAGGGAGGGAGGGAAGGGAAAGGAAGGGAAGGAAGGAAGGAAGGAAGGAAGGAAGGAAGGAAGGAAGGAAGGAAGGGGAGGGGAGGGGAGGGGAAGGGAGGGAAGAAAGGCAGGCCCTGATGTTCAGGGAGCTGAGAGTGAAGTCACCGGCTCCAACCCAGGATCCAAACTCAAGTCTGTCTGGGGTCCTATCCCCGTCACCACCCCCCGCCCCGACCCATCCCCCAGAGACCTGGGAAGGAGCCAGGCTCCTCCGGTTTCAGGAAAGGGCTGCACAAACCACCCCGCCACGATCCCTCCCAGAGAACAAACAGCTCCCGGCCACCGGCAGTCTCCCTCCTCCTCCTGCCAGGCTGGTTCCCAGACCCACCCTCCCTGTGTCATAAGCGCCTCTCCCCGCACTCTCACCAGGGCTGGCTGTTCTCAGAGGAACGCCCAGGAAAAACCTACCCGAACCCCTTTCAGCTGGGAAGGGGACCCGCCTGGGCTTCCTCACCGCCGATGAGACCTCCCTCGTCGTACACTTAGAGCTGCCTGTGTTTTCCTTCCTTCCTTAAGCGGGCTGGGAACTCTAGACACTCAGGGATGGGCCAGCCCATTAGAGTAAGCATTCGGCCACCTCTAGGCTGCTACGGTCACTGCTGCTGTCACCATCAACGTGACTGTCTCACACCTCACTTCCTCCGGCCAGCCACACCCCTGCAGATTTAACCCGCCAGCCTCCCTAAGGTTTCCTCTGCCTGAAATCCTCTCTGCATTCCTGGCTCATTCTCGAAATTGAGGTCAAAGCTCAGATGCCGCCTCCTTCCCTGACCACCCTACCTGAAGCAGCCGCACCTGCCTGCTCCTAGTCACGCCGTTCCTTCACCTGTTTCGTTTCCTCCACAGGGTTTACCACAATCTGAAAGTCTTATTCATGCAGGTGTCTACTTGTTTATCTCCCCACCACACCTACTAGGATGACAATATCACAAGGGCTGGGGTTTCATCTGTCTCCTCCTCCTCTGTATCTCCAGCACATGAAACATGCTTGGCACACTGTAGGTGCTTAAGTATTTGCTACTACATCACTTTGGGATTTTGCATAGGACACTCCCAATGCTTAGAATGTCAATCTTTGCTTCATTGTCCTTGGCAAACTCCTATTCATCCTTTGAAACCCCATCCATTTATCCCTTAACCAGGAAAGGCTTCTGTGCCTCATACAACCACCCATAAAGCTGGATTAGGGCTTTCTCTGGGGACACCCTTGCCCTGTGCCACACTTCCATTAGCGCACATATCCCCCATGAATTGTGCACACCAGCAGGGTCTAGAGTACGGCACACATTTTGTCTCAGGAGCTACGTATTGAATAAATAAATTAATTACTTTTTTTGAGACAAGGTCTTGCTCTGTCACCCAGGCTGGAGTGCAGTGGTGCAATCGTGGCTCACTGTACCTTGACCTCCCAGGTTCAAGCAATCCTCCCACCTCAGCCTCCCAAGCAGCTAGGACCACAGATGCAGGCCACTATGCCTGGCTAATTTTTAATTTTTTTTTTGGTAGGGATGGAATCTCCCTATGTTGCCCAGGCTGGTTTCAAACTCCTAGGCTCAAGGGATCCTCCTGCCTCTGCTTCCCAAAGTACTGGGACTATAGGTGTGAGACGCCACACTCAGCCTCATTATTTAATATGTAAGTAGCTATATCTCTCTGAGACCCAGCCCCATCTAATTTATAACCTCCCTCCTTCTCAAGAACATGCCTCAGCTCCCATTGCCAGGGAATCTGACCTTTCTCCTTGTCATAGGATTTTTTTTTTTTTTTGAGTCAGAATCTCAGTCAGTCACCCAGCCTGGAGTGCATGGCGCAATGGCTCGCTGCAACCTCTGCCTCCCGGGTTCAAGTGATTCTCCTGCCTCAGTCTCCCTAGTAGCTGGGACTACAAGCGCACGCCACCACACCCAGCTACTTTTGTAGAGATGGGGTTTCACCATGTTGGCTAAGCTGGTCTCGAACTCCTGATCTCAAGTGATGGCCTCCCAAAATGCTGGGTAACAGGTGTGAGGCACCACATCCGGCTGTCATAGGAATTTGTCAGCAAATCCTACAGACTAGAGGATGTGTGTTGGGTGGTGTGGGGGTGGGGATAACGGAGGAGATGGGGGGTGAGCTCTTCAAGCCCCAGGGGAGAATTCTGTTCCGTTCCTGGGACATCCCAGGTGAGAGGGAAGAAAGGCCAGCCCCCCAAGACAGCTATCCCAGACTGGGACAGAGGCAAACCCTGACCACAGAGCCCTGTCACTCACCCAAGAACAGGTGCCAATGACAGAATAGCCAGGCCGAGGGGGGAGAGAGGTGCTTCGGTGATGGATTTCCCTGGTGACTTGCCAAGACAGGGCTTTACTGCCTCCGCCCTGGACTGGCTGAGTCAGACTGTGCAGGGGTGGACACTTTGACTGGTATTTGGGAGGCATTTGCTGTGGGTTACAGAGAGGGAGGGGCCTCCTTTGCGGCCAGAGAAGGAGGAAAGAGGCCCTGGGCCCTGGGACTTGGGACTTGGGTGGAGGCTCGGGTTTCGGTCTCACCTGCTGCTCCAGACCATGGCCTGGAGGGCCGCCTGCGCCACCCCCAAAGCAATGAGATAGCCCCTCCTCCCTCAGACCCAGGAGTCCAGGCCCCCAGCCCCTCCTCCCTCAGACCCAAGAGTCCAGACCCCAGCCCCTCCTCCCTCAGACCCAAAGGCCTCGGACCCATACCAAATGCTTCTATGAGATAGTTTTCTCCCCTTGTTCATGAAGAAATGAGCCCAGGCCCAGTCAGATCTGCATCTGTGTCACAGCCCAGGGCCACTGTAACCTTAGGCTACTGACTTCCCTCTCTGAGCCTCTGTTTTCTCCTGTCAATGGGGCAAGGGGTCTGCTCCTTCCCTCAAACCCCAACTCAGGTACAGTCAAGCACAGAAAATACTTGTGGCATGAATGTGATGAGAACACAGAATTGCAGAAGCCAAAGAAAGAGAAGCGTAAGGGCCCTCCTTCCACCCCTACCTCCCCCACCCGCTGCTACACGCACCAGGACCACCTGCTGGGTAGCCAGGAGCTCACAGTCTAGCCCCGCTGGCCACCCCTGCAGCCCCCATCCTTCACTCAGGCAGTTGCAGGGCCCAGAACACCCCTATCTTCTAGGATTGACACTGGCTGTCAAACTCATCCTTCAAGGTGATTCCTGGCCTGCCCTCCTCCTCCAGGCAGCCTGTCCTCCTCCTCCAGGCAGCCTGTCCTGACCCTCAGCAGCCTCTCCTGGCCTTGGCAGAGCCCCTCGTGTCCTCCCTTGCAGCACGCATGGGAAGAAAGGCCATCGTCCTCGCCATTGCTAACACCAGCCTTGCGTTTCCTCTTTGCCAGGTACTGTATTGACAACTCTCTATAACCTGACTTTATCCTCCCAATAAGCTGGGTGTGGTGGGTGGCTCATGCCTGTCATCCCAGCACTTCGGGAGGATAAGGCAGGAGTATCACATGAGCCCAGGAGTTGGAGACCAGCCTGGGCAACATAAGGAGACTCTACTATATATATGTGTATATATATTTATATATAGTCTGAGATGGGAGGATCACCCCAGTAGGTCGAGACTGCAGTGAGCTGTGATTATGACACTGCATTCTAGCCTGGGCCACAGAACTAGACCTTGTCTCAATTAAGAAAAAAAATGGGGATAATAGGACCCATTCCATAGGATGTGGTGAGGATTATGCATACACACACACACACACACACACACACATTTATGATGTACTGAGAAGATATAAGCACACAATAAGTATCTCCAAAATTATCAAGTGGCAAAGCCAGGATTCAGACCCACACCTGCCCGAGGCTCTCTGCCATCAGACCACACTATATCTCTTTCTCTCTGTTCCTTCATCCCCATCAATCGAAGGCAAAAATGTGCCTTCTCTGATTTCCAGGCTCACTCAGCATAGACCGTGGAGGCAACATATCTTGAATGAAGCAACAAAGCAGTAATGCACATGAATGCACCAAATGCCAAAAGCTCGTTTACTCAACAAGTATCTCTCCAACACTTTCTATGTGCTAGACCCAATTCTGTGTGCTGCAGATTAAGTGGAGGACTGATCACACAAAAATCTTTGCCCTTGTGAAGCTTGCATTTTTTTTTTTTTTTTTTTGAGATGGAGTCTTGCTCTGTCACCCAGGCTGGAGTGCAGTGGAGCAATCTTGGCTCACTGCAATCTCCACCTCCCGGGTTCACGCCATTCTCCTGCCTCAGCCTCCGGAGTAGGTGGGACTACAGGCACCCACCACCAAGCCTGGTTAATTGTTTTGTATTTTTAGTAGAGACGGGGTTTCACCATGTTAGCCAGGATGGTCTCAATCTCCTGACCTCGTGATCCACACGCCTCGGCCTCCCAAAGTGCTGGGATTACAGGCGTGAGCCACCACACCCGGCCGCTTTTTTTTTTTTTAAGATGGAGTCTCGCTCTGTCACCCAGGCTGGAGTGCAGTGGCACGATCATCTCGGTTCACTGCAACCTCCACCTCCCAGGTTCAAGTGACTCTCTTGCCTTGGTCTCCCAAGAAGCTGGGATTACAGGTGTGCACCACCAACTCTGGCTAATTTTTTTTTTTTTAGTAGAAATGGGGTTTTATCATGTTGGTGACATGGTGTGATCTCGGCTGACTGCAACCTCCACCTCCGGGGTTCAAGCAATTTTCTTGTCTCAGCCTCCCAAGAAGCTGGGATTACAGGTGTACACCACCACCCCCGGCTAATTTTCATATTTTCAGTAGAGACGTGCTTTCACCATGTTGGCCAGGTTGGTCTCGAACTCCCAACCTCAAGTGATCAATCCGCCTCAGCCTCCCAAAGTGCTGGGATTACAGGCATGTGCCACCGTGCCCAGCCTGTGAAGCTTGCATTCTAACGGAGGAGACACAGACAAAATGAACCAGGAACACAGTGGGTAAGAAGGTGAAAAGTTCTCCACACAAAAATGAAGTAGGGAGAGAGGAAAGAGACTACAAAGAAGTTGGGTTGCCGGGGGCGGTGGCTCACACCCATAATCCCAGCACTTTGGGAGGCCGAGGCGGGCAGATCACGAGGTCAAGAGATCGAGACCATCCTGGCCAACATGGTGAAATGCTGTCTCTACTAAAAGTACAAAATTAGCCGGGCGTGGTGGCGCGCGCCTGTAGTCCCAGCTACTCAGGAGGCTGAGGCAGGAGAATCACTTGAACCTGGGGGGGCGGAGGTTGCGGTGAGCCAAGATTGCGCCACTGCACTCCAGCCTGGGCAACAAGAGTGAAACTCTGTCTCAAAAAAAACAAAAGAAGTCGAGTAAGGGATGCCGCCATTTGAAACAGGGTGGTCAGCCAGTCCTCTGAGAAGGTGACATTCAGGCAAAGATCAAAGGAGGCAAGAAAGTGAGGCATGAGGGTATCTGGTAGAAGAGCATTCCAGGCAGAGGAAACAGCAAGTGCAAAGGCCCTGAGGCAGGACCGGGTCTGGATGTTCCAAGAGCAGCAAGGAGGCCAGTGTGCTGACACACAGAAGGAAGAGATGAGATCAGAATCACGTCCCTTAAGGCCTTGCAAGATGTCAGCTTTTTTTTTTTCTTCTTTTTTGAGACAGAGTCTCGCTCTGTCGCCCAGGCTGGAGTGCAATGGCGCAATCTCGGCTCACTGCAAGCTCCGCCTTCCAGGTTCACGCCATTCTCCTGCCTCAGCCTCCCGAGTAGCTGGGACTACAGGTGCCCACCACCACGCCCGGCTAATTGTTTGTATTTTTAGTAGAGACGGGGTTTCACCGTGTTAGCCAGGATGGTCTCGATCTCCTGACCTCGTGTTCCACCCGCCTCGGCCTCCCAAAGTGCTGGGATTACAGGTGTGAGCCACTGCGCCCGGCCTGTTTTCTGTTTTTTGAGATGGAGCCTCGCTCTCTTGCCTAGGCTGGAGTGCAGTGGTGCAATTATCGGCTCGCCGCAACCTCTGCCTCCCGGGTTCAAGTGATTTTCCTGCCTCAGCCTCCTGAGTAGCTGGGATTACAGGCACCCGCCACCACACCTGGATAATTTTTGTGTTTTTAGTACAGATGGGGTTTCACCATGTTGGCTGGGCTGGTCTCGAACTCCTGTCCTCAGGTGATCTGCCTGCCTCGGCCTCCCAAAGTGCTGGGATTAGAGATGTGAGCCACTGTACCCATGCAAGTTTCTTAACCCTTCTCTTCCTCATTTTCTCATCTGTGAGACGAAGACAGCCTCCCACCCAGACACACTCCCCTCACGGGGCTCTGGGGAGAAATGATGTGGAAAGCTTTGCTAGTAACCTCTACAGCATGGAGGGAGTTCTGGAAAAGTGATTTCAGAAAGGTGTTTATGCCTGGAAAGCCTGTTCATTTTTGTGATGTCCTTGGAGCTGGGCCAGGCATTATCGAGCTAAATCTTAGCTTTTGTCAGAATAGGGGGGTCATTGAGGGAAATTTCCAAAGGAAGGTGGAACGGGATGGGTGGGGAGGTAAGGGCATGAGCAGAGGCAGTGATCGTGGGCAGGAGGTGTCCATAGAAGACGGGCTGCCACTGGCCCTGGAGACAGAAGGTCAGCCCCGGGTTCAAATCCCTCCTTAACCAAGTGCTGAAATGGACAAGTTGCTCAACCTCTCTGGCCTTCAGCTTCCTCATCTGTCAAGCAGGAATCAAACCTCGAACTTCCTCCCGCTGTTAGAATTTCAAGGGAGTTTTAAAGACAGAGCTTTCAACTCTGACCTGTGAACAAGTGTGACATCAAATGTACTGTTCGTTGCTATTATTCTGTTGCTACAAGGCAGACAGTTAGTTTCCCAGCTCCCCTGCAGTCCCCCCAGCCCCTCCTAGATCTGTCTGCCAGCCCCGCCCCGGGGTCACTCCAGCCAGGCTGTGCCAGGTGAATGCTCAGGTATGCGGAGGCGGAGGCGGAGGCAGGACGGCCCTGGGAGGGAGCAGGAGGAGGGGCCGGCAGCCTGGAAGGGAAAGGACAGCGGAGAGCAGGGCAGAGCCTGAGCAGGCAGGTAAGGAGATCCGGGTCAGGAGAGAAGGGGGCCGGGGCTTGACCAATGGGTCTGAGGGACGGGGGGACTGGGGTCTGGACTCCAGGGTCTCAGGGAGGACGGGCTGGGGGTCTGAACTCCCGGGTCTGAGGGAGGAGGGCCTGGGGTCCTGGACTCCTAGGTCTGAGGGAGGAGGGGCTGAGGGCCTGGACTCCTGGGTCTGAGGGAGGAGGAGATGGGGCCTGGACTCCTGGGTCTGAGGGAGGAGTGGACTGGGGTCTGGACTCCTGGGTCTGAGGGAGGAGGGGACTGGGGTCTGGACTCCTGGGTCTAGGGAAGAGGGACTGGGGCCTGGACTTCTGGGTCTGAGGGAGGAGGGGCTGGGGGCCTGGACTCCTGGGCCTGAGGGAGGAGGGGCTGGGGCCTGGATGCCTGCATTGAGGGAGGAGGCTGGGGTAGGAATTAGAGGCTCCTACTGGCCAGGCCTTCACATGTTTGCTGGCTCCCAGGGCACCTCCAGGTGGGCAGGAGCTACCACTCAGCACCATGAGCACCGCCACAGGGTAAGCGCCCCCGGACCCCAGGTCCCAGCCCCAGCACGCCTCCCGCCTCCCCTCGCCTCCTCACCCACACCCGCTTGCGGCAGCCCAGACTGTTTGCGGCGGCCCAGACTCTGGCCCAAGCCCCGACACTCAGGAGGAAGCCAGAGCCTCTCTCCTCCCTGCCCAGCCTGGGGTTAGGGGCCCCCACTGCAGAGCAGACAGGCCTGAGCTCCAGTTCGGCCCTCACACTCAGTGCTGATGTAACCCTGGTCAGAGGACATCACCTCCTGGAGCCTCAGCCCCTCCTCTGTGACACAGGGACAATGTTGAAAAATTGGAGGGATAGTGCATTACAGGACTTAGCTGACCACCTCACTGACAGCAGGTGCTCAACTCATAGGAGTCGCTATTGCGATTGTTATGTTGTTAGTAAATATTAACCCTTTGCTAGAAAATCAGGGCTGTTTATAATGAAGACTCAAGTCCCCCAGAGTAAGCAGGGAGAAAAACAATGAGAGATGAGTCAAAATACCTGCATGGTAGGTAGTGAGCTCTCTGGCCCAGAGGTAATCAAATTGTGGTGACATCAGACTGGCAGGAGCAGGATGAGGAACAGGAGTTTGGGAAAAAGGGTTTTTCAGTTCCCCTGACGCCACCTGATCGCTGAGCTTCTGTTATGTGCATGCAAGTGGGGATTCAAGAATTCTTAGGAAAGGTAATCTTAGGAAGAAATTGAGGACGGGAGGAGACAGAGAAGGATGTGGTTGGGAAGCACCTGGCCCATGGGAGTGGGAGGGGAAGCAGATAATTCCCTGTCTACTTCAGATACCACTAATGCTATTATAACCATTCCCATTTATTGAGCAACTTCTGTGTGCTAAGCCCTGGCAGCATCTTAAGAATGATAATAACAGTTATTGAGGCTTCAAAATACTTCACCTGCATCATCTGACTGAATTTGCCCAACAGCCCTACCAGATGGTTACTACGTTACAGAAAGAAAAACTGAGGCAGGAGAGATTAAATCCTCTTCTGAAGGTCTTATGGCAAGGAGGCAGTAGACAGAGGGTTTGAATCCCGGACTATGCCATGGTAGAGATCACACTCCCCTACCACCCAGCACCACCGCCTGACCTGACCTGTCTTTTTTTTTTTTTTTTTTTTTTTGAGATGGAGTCTCACTCTGCTGCCAGGCTGGAGTGCAGTGGCACGATCTGGACTCACTGCAACCTCCGCCTCCCAGGTTCAAGTGATTCTCCTGCCTCAGCCTCCCACGTAGCTGGCACTACAGGCGCCCACCACCACACCCAGCTAATTTTTGTATTTTTAGTAGAGACAGGGTTTCACCATGTTGGCCAAGATGGTCTCAATCTCTTGACTTTGTGATCCGCCCACCTCTGCCTCCCAAAGTGCTGGGATTACAGGCGTGAGCCACCGCGCCCAGCCTACCTGTCTTCTTAAAGTCCAGCTCTGGCTCTGAGCTCTCCTGCTCAATAATAATAATAATAATAATAATAATAATAATAATAATAACCCTTCCATCGCTCCCCATTACCTTCGTCATGAAGCCCTTGCTGCCCTGCTTGGCATTTCCACAGGATCTGCCCCCAGTCCCACAGTCTCTCTCATTCCTCTTTTCTTCACCAGCCCAGAAGCTGCCCCAAAGCCAAGCGCCAAGTCTATCTATGGTGAGCGGGGGGCAAGGGAGCCCCAGGCCCATAGAACTGGGTCTAAAGAAACAGGACCTGGCATCCAGGGTCTTGGAGGAGGAGGGGCTGGGGGTCTGGACTCCTGAGTCAGAGGGAAGAGGTGCTGGGGGTCTGGACTCCTGGGTCAGAGGGAAGAGGGGCTGGGGGGCTGGACTCCTAGGTTTGAGGGAGGAGGGGCTGGGGGCCTGGACTCCTGAGTCAGAGGGAAGAGGTGCTGGGGGCCTGGACTCCTGGGTCAGAGGGAAGAGGGGCTGGGGGGCTGGACTCCTGGGTCAGAGGGAAGAGGGGCTGGGGGGCTGGACTCCTGGGTCAGAGGGAAGAGGGGCTGGGGGGCTGGACTCCTGGGTCAGAGGGAAGAGGGGCTGGGGGGCTGGACTCCTGGGTCAGAGGGAAGAGGGGCTGGGGGGCTGGACTCCTGGGTCAGAGGGAAGAGGGGCTGGGGGTCTGGACTCCTGAGTCAGAGGGAAGAGGGGCTGGGGGGCTGGACTCCTGGGTCAGAGGGAAGAGGGGCTGGGGGCCTGGACTCCTGGGTCAGAGGGAAGAGGGGCTGGGGGCCTGGACTCCTGGGTCAGAGGGAAGAGGGGCTGGGGGTCTGGACTCCTGGGTCAGAGGGAGGAGGGGCTGGGGGGCTGGACTCCTGGGTCAGAGGGAAGAGGGGCTGGGGGCCTGGACTCCTGGGTTTGAGGGAGGAGGGGCTGGGGGCCTGGACTCCTGGGTCAGAGGGAAGAGGGGCTGGGGGGCTGGACTCCTAGGTTTGAGGGAGGAGGGGCTGGGGGCCTGGACTCCTGGGTCTGATGGAGGAGGGGCTGGGCCTGGACTCCCAGGCTCATTCTCTTTCTCCCCTGGCAGAGCAGAGGAAGCGTTACTCCACAGTTGTTATGGCTGATGTATCCCAGTACCCAGTCAATGTGAGTCTGGGGTCTGTGTTCCCCCAGGACATCTTCTGGGGCAAAGGTGGCCTCAGGAGATAGGGCTTTTGAAAGCAGCTAGGCCCCCAAGCAGGAAGCATGTGGAAAGTCAGTTTGCCCATCCATAAAATGGACCTCCGTTGCCTCACCTCAGTCATGGATATGAAGCCAGGGGCCTCGGGTCCACTTAATCTGCCAGCCTTTCCTCCAGGCCAGCTGTTGTGCTGGACAGTGGGACCACGGAGGCAAATCAAGACACAGCCCTGCATGAGGAAGGGGTAGACAAGGTCCAGAGGAATCCACAGAGGCGCCTGGTGCTCTAATGGAGGTGGCAGGGGGCATGGCAGGAGACCCGAGGAGGCATTTAGAAGGAGAGAGCTATAATCCAGACTCCTTCCCTGCCCGCAAGGAGCCTCCAGTCTGTGAGAAGCCAGACTCAGGTGCTAGTCACTCTGATGAAAGGGAAACAAAGGGCACTGGGAGGAGGAGCTGATTTGTGGAACAGGTGATCAAGGAAGGCTTCCTGGAGGAGGTGTGGTTAGTCTCAGGCTGAAAGTCTGATTATTCTGGGGGATTCTGAGCCCACCTGGCATCATCTTGGGCCTCACTGCTTTCTCCATGGTCCGTACCAGCACCTGGTGACGTTCTGCCTGGGTGAGGACGATGGCGTGCATACCGTGGAGGATGCCTCCAGGAAGTTGGCCGTCATGGATAGCCAGGGCCGAGTCTGGGCACAGGAGATGCTGCTGCGAGTGTCTCCCGACCATGTCACGCTGCTCGACCCGGCCTCCAAGGTGCCGGGGGGCACGTGGGTGGGAGGAGTGTCTGGGGCAGGGACTTCAGGGGGTCTGGGTGTGAATCTTGGCTCCTGCACGTCCTTCCTCTGGGAACTCTGGCGAGGGACCCCAGCCCCCTTCTTGAGCCTTAATAGCCTCATCTATTAAACAGGGCTGTTATCCCTAACCCCCTAACCGCCTGAGGTTGCCCTGACCTGCTGGCCCACACTCCCGTCGCCATTTAGTAGTACCATCATTTCGGGGCCTCAGTTTACCCCGCCATCCCACCCGGCAGGAGGAGCTGGAGTCGTACCCACTGGGCGCCATCGTGCGCTGTGACGCGGTGATGCCACCCGGCAGGAGCCGCTCGTTGCTGCTGCTCGTGTGCCAGGAACCCGAGCGCGCGCAGCCCGACGTGCACTTCTTCCAGGGCCTGCGCCTCGGGGTGAGCAGATGGGCTGGCTCTGGGGGTGGAGCTGGAACTGGGCGGAGCCTGGAGCCGGGGCGGAAATGGGTGGGGCCTCTAGGTGGGGCGGGGCCTGGGGCTAAGGCGGGATCAGAGCAAGGAAGGGCAGGGGACCTGGGAAGGAAGTTCTGGAAGGCAGTGGGGTTTGAGATTGGACCCAGGGTCAAGATAGAACATGAAGGTGGGATGAGGACATGAACAGAACATGGCCAAGAAGGATCTGGGGGAGCAGCCAGGACGAGGTGGGGGCGAGGAACCACCCGGACTGGGTCTCCATGGGCGGGGTCGTGGCTTAGGGCAGGGACAGGTGTAGGGCGAGGGGTGAGTTCGGGGCGTGGACGTGCGTGGGTTCACAGGTGTGAACGGTAGCCGCACGTGGGCTGGGACTGAGCTGAAAAATCGGCCAGGGGCGAGGCCCGGGTAGGAAGTGGGTGCGGCGTGGGGAGGCGTGGCCTGACGGTGTGATTGGCAGGCGGAGCTGATCCGAGAGGACATCCAGGGGGCTCTGCACAATTACCGCTCGGGCCGCGGGGAGCGCAGGGCGGCGGCGCTCAGGTGAGAGGGAAGAAGTTGGCAGGGTCTCTGGGAAGCCGGTTTCCCCTCCTTGTGCCTCAGTCTACAACACCAGCCTGGAACAGAACAAGAGTTTTGCATGGAGTCAAGCACACCCTAGTCGAGTCTTGTCTGTACCTCCCAGACGAGCTGACCCCTTCTCCAGAACTCTGCTTCTTTTCTCTGTTCCCTGTCCAGGCCCTCAGTTTCACTCTAGAGAGGTGCTATCCCTCCGTATATCGGATTTCTCCCTACCTCGTTGAACTTGTTCACTCCCTTTGAGCCTTTTGAGCCTGTGTGTCTCGTTCTGCGCCCTGGATTTCCCCCTCCCTGGACCCCTCAGTGGACCCAGTCTTGGTGTCCCCGTCGCCCTCCGCAGGGCCACGCAGGAGGAGTTGCAGCGCGACCGCTCGCCCGCCGCTGAGACCCCGCCCCTGCAGCGCCGCCCGTCAGTCCGCGCAGTGATCAGCACCGTAGAGCGGGGCGCGGGCCGCGGACGACCCCAGGCGAAGCCCATTCCCGAGGCAGAGGAGGCGCAGAGGCCTGAGCCGGTGGGGACCTCGAGCAACGCTGACTCGGCCTCCCCGGACCTGGGTCCCCGGGGTCCTGACCTGGCGGTTCTGCAGGCGGAGCGGGAAGTGGTGAGCCGCTAAGGAAGGGGTCTGGGGGCAGGGCCAGGCGACTGGAGGCGGGGCTAGGGCGTGGAAGGGCGGGGCCGGCTGCGGGACGGGCGTTCTCTGGTCAGACTTCTGCGTTATGGAAGAGGGGCTGGGTCGGGGGCGGGGCTTGGTTGTGGGGCGTGGCCAGGTGTTTGGGGCGTGGCCTGATCTGGGGAAGTGTATAGGTGCTCAGGTTCAGGGCTTCGACGGGGATGGTTTTGGAACTCGGGAGCCCTGAGCGTCCCCCTCCTCTGTCCCCTAGGACATCCTGAACCACGTGTTCGACGACGTAGAGAGCTTTGTATCGAGGCTGCAGAAGTCGGCGGAGGCGGCCAGGGTGCTGGAGCACCGGGAACGCGGCCGCAGGAGCCGGCGCCGGGCGGCTGGGGGTAAGGGGCACCCTGGCGTGGGATCTGAACCCCCTCCCGATCTCTTCCAAATGTCCCCGCTCTCCCCAGGCTCTCCCCTCCCGCCACTTGCCAGGGCTGACCTCACCGCCATCTTAACCGGGTGTCCACCTCTCTCTGCCTGCCTGGTGCTGGCCCCGCGTCCCCATCGCCGCGCCCGTCTGCTCCCCTCAGAGGGCTTGCTGACGCTGCGGGCCAAGCCGCCCTCGGAGGCCGAGTACACCGACGTGCTGCAGAAGATCAAGTACGCCTTCAGCCTGCTGGTGAGGACGCGCCCGCCCCTGGGCCGGGGCGCGGGCACGACGAACCTGTCCCGTCCCCGCACCCACGCCAACCACCTCCCTCCCCACGCCCCAGGCCCGGCTGCGCGGCAACATCGCCGACCCCTCCTCTCCGGAGCTGTTGCACTTCCTTTTCGGGCCTCTGCAGATGGTGAGACCCGCCCCAGGCCCTCGGGCCCCCCTGCAGCGGGAGGAATCGGGTTCGACTTGTAGAAGGTGTGGCGGCACAGCCTGCCCCTCCTGCTCCCCTGACAGATTGTGAACACGTCGGGGGGGCCGGAGTTCGCGAGCAGTGTGCGGCGGCCGCATCTGACATCGGATGCCGTGGCGCTGCTGCGGGACAACGTCACTCCACGTGAAAACGAGCTCTGGACCTCGCTGGGGGACTCGTGGACCCGCCCCGGGTGAGGGGCGGGGCTGGGAGGCAGGGGGCATGGTGATTGGAGGAGCATAAGGCGCTGGGAGGTGGGTGGCATGATGATTGGAAAATAGGACTAGGAGAGTAGGGAGGGGTTAGAGGCGTGGCTTAGTTGTGTTGGGGCGGGGCTTAGGACAGATGCCAAGATTCAATTGGAGGAAAGGCCAGGAATTAACGTGAAGGAAAGATTTAAGACCACCAGACCAATCGGATTGAAAGAAAAGGGGGGCTTAAAGGAATAGAGGGGCTAGGGGCTACGGGGCAGGGGCGGGGCTACGCGAAGGGGCGGGGCTTCTGGAAGGTTTGGTCTATAACTTTGGTGATGGGACAGAGTCTGTGCACTGCGGGCTGGCAGTTCCGCAGGGAAAGGGTCAGAACCTGAAACCGACCTTACGGAAAACCTGATTTGGAATCAGGTGAGATTTAGAGGCTGGATAAGGCAATTTTTTTCCAGAGAGAGAGATGGATGGGGTCTCAATATTTTGCCCAGGCTGGTCTGGAACTCCTGGCCTCAAGCGATCCTCCCATCTTGGCCTCCCAAAATGCTGGGATTACAGGCGTGAGCCACCGTGCCCGGTCTAGAAATATAAATTGCTGTTGAGTTGGGCTTAGAGCTACCGGCAGGACTTGGTGAAAAGTGGCGGGGCTAGAATCGTTGGAATACAGCGAGCTTTAGGGGAAAACTTAGTGAAGTTAATGCAGGAACGAAGTTGGGGGCTGTATCAGGATCCCTGAGCTCTTGGCCCTGTCCCTGGCCGCAGGCTGGAGCTGTCCCCGGAGGAGGGACCCCCATACAGACCCGAGTTCTTCAGCGGCTGGGAGCCGCCGGTCACTGACCCGCAGAGCCGCGCCTGGGAGGACCCAGTTGAGAAACAGCTACAGCACGAGCGGAGGCGCCGGCAGGTGACCCAAGCGACACAGCAGGGCCGAGGCTGGGAAGTCCGGGGGCGCGGCCGGTCCGCCTGGCCCCGCCTGACCCGACTGTCTTACTTCCTACAGCAAAGCGCCCCCCAGGTCGCTGTCAATGGGTGAGTGTCCGCCCCAGGGCAGGGCAAGGGGGTCAAGGAGGGGTGCGTCCCGGGGGCTCCCGATGCTGACTCCGCCCCCTTTTTTTCTGTGTTTTTCCTTCTGTCTTCCTGGCTCTTCTCAGGTGGGTGAGATGGTGATGGGGCGGGCCGGGGCTGGGAGAGAGGGAGGAGCAGGGTGGGAGGGGGCGGGACCCAGACTTCTGGGGCTAAGGGAGTTGGGAATGGAGACCCGGATTCCTGGGCCTAAGGGAGGAAGGGGGCTGGGAGTGGGTAAAGTCTGAGAGGTTGGATCCCTGGATCCCCAAAAGGCTGGAAGAAGCCAGTTTGTTTTCCCAGGGCCTGGGAAGCACCATGCCTGGGCTCCCTAGGAGGACAGAGCCCTGGATATTGGAGGGGAGAGGCTGGGGAATTGGACCTTTGGGTTTTGAAGAAGAGCCCAAGTCTGGTGCTTGGGATCCTGGAGACCCAGAGGAGCAGGCTTGGGACTTCAAGGGCTTGGGGGCAAGTTTCTGGGAAAGTTAGGAAGTGGTAGTATCTCTGGGCCCCCGAGAGGGGTAAAGGCTGGACGATTAAACTCTTGGTTTTCCAGAGGCTCTAATGCAATTGTCTAAGTCGCTGCTGGGTGTCGGACTGGGTTAAAAGGTTTGAGGGTTAAAAGGATAAGATTGAAGCTT